>NC_000002.12:29964875-30117625 GCF_000001405.40 Homo sapiens
TATTTTGTTTAATTTTCACAATGGTTGTGCAATGTAGGAACAATGAGGAAACTGAGGTTCACCCATGCAAGTCAGCACAGCCTGTAAGAGGCAGCAAAGCTGAACTAGGGCTGAGGTCTGACTTGAGGGCCTGAGTTCCTAACCAGCGTGCTGTTCTGAACTGCCTTCCAGGCATGAACAGTCTTTACAGATGACATCTGGGGGCTCTTTCAAGAAGAAAGGCAACAAATGTGTCTACTGAGCACCTACTCTGAGCTGGAATTCTGTACTCATGTCTTGTCATCTTCATGACAGTCCTGTGTGGTGAATACTCTCATCTCCGGTTTACAGATTAGAAAACTGAACTTGGGGATAGTCAATGACTCACTCAAGCTATCAAACTGGGCTCCAAACCCAGGTCCGTCTGACTCCAGTGCCCATCACCTTCCCACCAGGCTGATCTGAGTGTGTTTATTTGTGATTCTCACTCCACTTTGGGGGCTCCTATAGTTGCCCAACAAAACCATTAAAAGGGGAGGAAGCCCCTGGGGGTGCCACAGAATCAAGGGGTAAAGGAACCATGAGTTCAGGCTGGGAAGTGACATTTCAGAGAATTTCTAGAAGTCCCCAAATCCTGGGAGTTACTGACCCACCTTTTGAAAAATCTTGCTTTCAGAGCCATTAACTCAGAGTGCCTGAGATATTAAATCCCGTGTTTTTAAAAAAAGGCTTCCAGGTGACAATACCAGACCAAGAGGCAGATGAAATTTGCTTAGATTCTCCTTCTCATTCTCTGAGTGACTTCAGGTAAGTCAATTATCATCTCAGGGCCTCAGTTTCCTGATAAGACTTCTTAAAGCCCCTTCTACCTCTATTCTCTGATCCTGCAGTTGGATCTATCTCAGCCTAGGAGTGACTCCCAGTGGAGGTGTCTTGACACATTAATTGTGAAGCATATTGCAAATAGTTTGTTATTAATGTTGGATGTGTCAAAGTAGAGACCATTCAAGTACCATCACGCTCACTCATGATCAGTGAGCAGGGTAGAAGGAGGGGAATGATAACCAGCACTAGGAATGGCACAAGCACCCATTATTGGTGACCCATAGTAAATGTAGTGAAGGATCTGAGAATTGCAGAGCTGAAACATCAAGAAGGTGGCACAGAGGAAGTGCTATTTGTATTGGGTCTTTAAGGACAAGGAGTTTTCCAGAGAAGAAGGACCTTCGAGGCAGAGGACACATTAGATCCAGACGGTCTTCACCAACTGTGAGGATACTACTCTGCCCAGCCCAAGATGATTGAGTCACTCCTACAACATCCTCAGGGGAGGCTTCTGAGTCTCTGCTACCCTTGGCAGGGTTCAAAGTCCAGAGTGAAACCGATCAAGCAGGCTTCCGATGCTCAGGGAGGAAGAGTTCTGGGGTTGCTGGGAGCAAAGGACATTCTCCTTCCTTCAGCAACTCCTTCCAGAGTATAAGACCCTATCCTGCTATGCCTTGTTTTCTGCCCAGACCTGCCCAGCCTTGTCCAGTCCTGCCCAGTCCTCCCCTACACAGCACTAGCAGCCCTGCCCAGTTCTGCCCTGGCCTGCCCAGTCCTGCTGAGCCTTGCCCAGTTCTGACAACTTCTGCCCAGTACAGGCATCCCTGCCCAGTCCTGCTCAGCATAGCCCAGTTATGCCTTGTTCTGGCCGGTGCTGTCCTGTCCTGCCCAACTCTGCTTTGCCCAGCCAAGCCCTGCTCAGCCCAGTTCACATTCTGCTCCATCCTGCCCAGCCCGTTCATTCCTGCCCAGTCAGCCCTTCCTGTCCACTCCAACCTGGCCCTGCCCTGCCCTGCCAGCCCTGTCCAGTCCAGTTTTCTGCCCAGTCCTGCCCTGCCTTGGTCTGATTCAGGACTTAAAGGAAGCCTCCTTTCTGTAAGACACCCTAGTCATTCTCTAAGGCTATATCTGGGGACATGATAAGAAACAGCTCTACAAAACCCCCAACTACATCTATTTAAGAACATTGTTGAAGACATCGTTACTTTATGGGTTTTCTTTATGGAAATCCTTGGGAGAAGTTTCTAGCTGAACTCAATAATAGGAATTCTGCTTCTTTCAATCAATTGGATTGTTTTTACCTCAGGGCATTATGACTTAATAATGATAGTTCTTACTGCAGAGCCTCAAAAGAAAGCCAGGGGCCAAATAAATGACCCGTCTTTGTAAGTACATAAGTTTCAAGGTGTATATTTTTGCACTAACTTTTTCCATCTTACAAGAATGAAGGTTTTGCTCTCTGCTTCCTTTTTTTTTTTATTTTTTTTGTTTCATGGTTAATGTATTTTTCTTTGTAAACTGGCCTGAATTCTTCTTTGAAGGAAGCTGGACACAAGTAATGAGGAATATTTATTAAACTCACAGTTTTGGTGGTGGTGTAAGGATAGGGGGCCCCTACTTTTTCACACATCTGGACTGGGATGAAAGAAAGCTCCCCTAATGCCTGTGGGGCTGTATCCCACACACGGTGGCTGTGTGGGAGACTGGATCTCCAGAAGAGAAGAACTTCGCTCAGCAGGAAGTGATTGTACCCATGAGGAAGAACAACCTTGGAAGTGCTTACAAACGGGTTGTATTTGCTTTAGGACTTTAAGAGAATCAGGTTTTAAAAGAGATCTGCAAAAGATAATATGATTGACAGCTTTATGTTTCTTAGGTGCAGAGCTCACAAAGCAAGTAATCATTGTCAGATGATTAGCTCAAGGCAGGGGAAGGAGGAGCCTCATGGACACAAGAGGGAAAAAACAAGTGAACACCAAGTTGCATGCAAGGGACAAAATGTACTTCAATGTCTTTTTCACCATTATTTAAAAAAAAAAAAAAAAAGCAAACAGACTTCATGCAGGTCCTATCTTGGGGACAGTCTGAGGGTATCACGGGGAGAAAAGGTGATTTTTTACTCCCAGTGACCTCCCATTCTGGTTGGAGAAAGAAGTCAGAGAGATAAAAGTCATATGGCACAAAGTTGCCTATGCTGAGTGTACAATTGGCTATGGGGTATCATGCGGAAGGCCTTCAATCCAGGAGTCTTAGGAGCTTCATCTGACTCTAGTGCCAAGAATGGATGGGAGCATGCAGAGACCAGAGTAAGAGGCCAGCTATCCTGGACTCTAACAGCAATCCAGGAGTCCAGCGGGGTGGTGACAGAGGGGGCAGAAAGGAAATGATGAATTCCAGTTGACCAGAGACAAAACAGAAGGGAGTCTCATCACACATGCTTTAATCTACAGATTTGACCATGGGAGAGAGAGGAAAAAAAAAACAATGTAAAATTTCCAGGCTCATGTGCTCCTCCATGAACCAGAAGCTATGAAGCTGCAAGTCCTTCACTTGGTCTCAGCTCCCACATGCCTCTCACAGTGTGAGTGCCTCATGGCAGGACTGGAAACGTCTAATGTGTCCAAGTCCTTTGTTACATGCAGTGTGGATCACAAAATTCCTTAGATCACCTATAACATGCAATGTGTATGGCTTTGTGAAGACACAAAGAAATCTAAGAAGTCTTTGTGTCTTCACAGGTATTGTATGTTATAGGTGATCTAAGGAATTTTCAAGCTGTAATTTTCGCCTTCCCCACTTCAGACTAAGATAAGATGCGACTCAGTAAAAATGTCTAGTAGGTGCTTGATACAATTTTGATGACTGAGTGAATGGCTGGCCAAAGAGAAGAAGGTGGGGATGAGAATCAGCCTCACGTTGGGATCTGGGGTGATTAAAGGAGCCTCAGAGATAATCATAGAAGCCCAGAGTTGCAGCTGGTTTTGAAGAAATGTCGGCAGGCCTCATTCTTTGTGGTGTTCATGTCACGGCTCCTGTTGTTTCCCTAGCATAAAGTTCCTATCCTCTTTTTCCACATGAACTACTCGTCTTTCAAGACCCAACCTAAACATTACATCCTTAGGTGAGCCTTTTCTGAACCCACAGTGCAGACTTAGTTACTGTGTTCCCATAGTATATGTTTCTATTATAGAACCTATTAACAAAGCTTTATGGTCATTTATTGGAGTATGTTCAGCCTCTACTGGTCTGGAATCACATTAGGAGCTACTTGTTGCTTATTATTAATTTCCCAAAACAGTGCCTGGAATGGAAATTGAGTGAGTTTGGCTAGAGAGAAGCTGAGATTGGTAAAACACCCATCATAGGAGACTAAATTATTGGTCCTAATTTTTCACCCCCTCTCACCATAGTAGAACCCTTGCACTGTGGCCTCAGGAAAGGGCAAGTGGGCTTTCCTGACACTGATTCTGATCTTATCCAGCCGTCTTCAAAGTGCGGAATGCAAACATCTGGAAGGGGGTGGTCCCTGAAATACTTTTAGAAAGGCTGCGTGTTCAAAACTACTTTTATAATAATACTAAGACATTGTTTGTTCTTTTCACTGAGTTGACATTTCCACTGACGGTGCAGAAGCAGCTTTGGGTGAAAGTGCCGGCACCTCAGCAGGTATCCAGGCTGTGCCACCAAGCTAAATCTATAGTCATTGTATATACCTCACTGCCATTCACTCTCAGTAAGGGAAAGTGCCAGTTTGTCTACAAATTTCCCTGATGAAGCAGTAAACAAGATGCATTTTATTAAATCTTGATGCATGAGTAAACGTTTTACTAGTGTGTGAAAAGAAATGGTAAGTAAGCATAAAGCACTTGTGTTACACACCCAAGTACTATAGTGGTCACAAGGAGAAGCATTTGTGTGATGGAGGTGCAAGTGGTCCCAGCTGCTTTGTCCATGGAACACCATTTTCACTTGAAAGGATGACTAGCAAACAATGGTAGCTTGGCAGACACTTGGTCAGAAACAGAGACTGTCACTTCTAGGAAAACACCTGACAATACCTGTAGCTAATGATACAATTTGAGCTTCCAAACCAAAATGAGGATTTTGTACAGCATGTTGTATCGGTGTCCTCAAGAGTGTGACAGGCCCCACCTGTCTTCCTTTGCCCCACACTGAGCAGCTGATGAGAAAGCCCAGGTGTTCTCTCCCTGGGTGCCTGCAGAGAAGTTCAAACCACACAAACCCTGGCTGTGCACAGAACTCACTCGCTTCTGCCCCCTAACCACAGTAAAAACCAAAGCCACTGGCCCCTGGATTTAAAGTCATTTCAGACCACCTTGGGGGCCTGCCCTGCTCTCTCCAGAAAGCCTCAATCTATGAGAAATGAATGTTTTTGTGCCCTTTCTGGACATGTGTAGCATCCTCAGCATTGACATCCATGCCAATTTTGAGGGATTGATCCTGCCCTCCATGAGCTACCACAAGACAATAAGTGGTGTGAGCATGATGCTCTGCGCAACGACCACCACTACCTGGGGGCCTTTCTGCTCTCGTTTTTTGGCTTGCTAACTAGCTCTGCTGCCTATAGGCATACGTGCACCTGGCGCTGCTGCCTGCTGGCCAGTGTGCTCTTTGAGTGGTGCTGCTGCTTGCTGGCGAGCCTACACTTTGAGCTGTGCTAGTTTGTGCTGCATTTGCCAAGTCCTGCTGAGACTCTGCTATAGATTTAATGGCCTTAAATGAGAAGTTTCAATAATTGGCATTTAGGGACTGGGGTCCCTAAATAGGATTGGTGCCCTCCTTAGAGTTGCTCTGGGGAGTGTGTCATGGCCCAGATGGAGCCACGTGCCTCAGACTGAATCATCTATCTTGATTCCAGCATAAGCTGAGACTGACTGACTCTCGGCTCAGGGAACAACTCTTGCCCTCTGACTGTTGTTTGCGTGCACCAACCAGGTACTAACCCCTGTTCTACAGGGCACTCAGGGAAAAGCTGGTGTCCTGTACAATGTGTGGGTCCATTCAGGTAGTCATTCAGGTGAGGAACAGCAACTACATGGGGTGCACCGAGGGACAGCCCAAGGGCACTGGCTCACCTGGACTCTGTGAGGCTCAAAGTGTCTCTGCTGTTGTTGCTGCTTTGCTTCTGTCACAAGTAAAGAGCCTGATCTTCAGTATTCGAGAGTGGGAGATCTCAGATGCCCTGTGGCACAGAGCCTAATGAACAGTGGACCAGAATATCTCACCCCAGTTCTTCCAAAGGGGCCAGAGCAAACTATACATGTATTGGAAAATTGAAAAAGTGATCACCAAACACTGCGGGTGCCACCAAGCATCAGTATATGAAGGGGCTGTTGCAACTCCACTAGGAGCAGAGGCCCCTAAGCCTTCAAAACAGGTAATATTGAGGAGTGGGGATACATGGAGGGTCAAGCTCCTGATCCTAGTGCCATTGACTGGAATTCTCTTAATGGAAAAACTCAAAAATGGGACAGGGGAAGACCTTCCCTGAAGTGTTTCTTATAACTACTCAAAAAATTGTATTCAGGTAGAAGAAGCAGAAAAGGAAACAGTCTGTCAGTTGAACTGACTGAAAATTTACTACAAGAATTTATTCAACAGGAAGATGAACAGGGAGCCAACTGACTTTGGCACCTCTATAACACTCATTCAGAATTTACTGTAGCATCTGTAGAGATGAGCTGATTGTCAGGCCATTTTTTTGTGATCCCCAAATTAATAATTTTTTAAGAAATCCATTTAATCTATTGAAATGAGCACATAATCCATGCCCTCTGCAGTGTTCTAGAGCTCCTCTCCCGGTCTGTCCTCTCATCTACTGGGTGTTGCTGACAGGGAAAATAGCCCAGCCCATGGCCACCACTGCAAATGCTCATGCCTTCACTAGTTGGAAACCCTGGGAGGAAGGACAACATCTATTGAGAAAAATTGGTATGGTGCAATGGGTTTATTATTGTTTTGCTGAATATTCTGATGTACCAGAGGCTCTTACTAGCCCCGAGCAGGACCTTTTGATGCTGATACAAGGCAATTATTTTTAAGAAGGGCATTCTCAAATTCTCAGGCAGTCTTACTCCTCCTTATTAGCCACCTTATGACCATTAGGGAAGCATTGGATGGCCTAGAGCTATTAGTTGCCCATAAAGAATAAGATGAGGCTGGGCGCAGTGGCTCATGCCTGTAATCCCAGCACTTTGGGAGGCTGAGGCAGGTGGATCACATGAGGTTAGGAGTTTGAGACCAGCCTGGCCAACATGGTGAAACCTCGCCTCTACTAAAAAATACAAAAATTAGCCAGGCTTGGTGGCAGATGCCTGTAATCCCAGCTACTAGGGAGGCTGAGGCAGGAGAATTGCTTGAACCCGGGAGGTGGAGGTTGCAGTGAGCCGAGATGGTGCTACTGTCTGGGCGACAGAGTGAGACTCCATCTCAAAAACATAAAAATAAGTAAATAAATAAGATGAAACCCAATAAATGTTTCCTATCAATGAAATAATCAAAGGAGTAGGAGTCATAAAGGAGGCAGTGTCCTCATGAGGGACCTCCAGACAATCAGCTTCCCCAAAACCAAGATCCCAATCCAAAGGCCTGATATTGGAGACTCCACAATCTAGGTTTCTCAAATCATTTTCTCTTGGGCAAAACCCTTGAAGAATTACAAGATTGATTATAACAGACTGTGGGGAAGTTATGGCTCCCAGTGCCAGGCAGCATCAGATATACAGCAAGGTGGCTCCAGGCTTCCATGACTCCCATATCCCTGACACCCCAAGGGCTCATTGTCCAATATCCGGTTTTTAGGTAATGGCAACTGCCACAAGCCAGCTAGGGACTCAGCTTCTCCCCAGGACACCAGCCACCCACTAGGACAACTGTCCCTATACCTCTCTGGTAGTTCATTGGTCTCCTCATATTTGCAAATCTTCACTGCCTTAATCAATACTAGGCTCAAGTTATAGCTACGCCTGGGATCCCATGAAACTTAAAGTAGATACCCTTATACTCTTAGGGAAAGTATAAGACATAAAATGTAGGACAGACACCTATCCCTCACCTTAACTGTCAGAACAATTACCTTACCTAAATTCCCCATGGTCATAGATAGCACTCACTACCCTAAAATACCTTATAGTTGGCATGGATGCCCAAACCCAATGAGCAATAAATTGGAATAAAATTAAGTAATTAGTACTTACAGTTGGTTTTGCAAAATGGAGTCCATTTCCACACCCCCTTTCCACCAGTTAAAATAGTATAGCTGCATATACTTTGAAACAAGGGCTACAGGAATTGACCCATTATATAAGACTTACTGAAAGAAAGGGTCATTGTTGCTGCTGTCTCCCACTTTAATAACCCAATTTGGCCAGTGCTCACCCCTGATGGAAATAGATGATGCCTGAGAGTGGTTTAACACAGCCTTAATGCCATGGTACCCTCAATAAGGTCCCCATATCTAATATCATTGACATTACTGACCATTCTTTAGCAACTGAAAGGTATTTTGTTGTAATAGACTTGGCTAAGGTGTCCTCTTCTGTGCCTATTTTGACAGCCTCTCAGCTGAGATTTGCCCTTGCCCTTGAAGAAACACAATAAACCTTCATTTTCCTCCACCATGGAGTATTTCAACAACTCTGCCATCTCACTCAGTCTTTGCAGGCAAGATCTTAACAACATCCAATTTTCTCTAGGAACACGAGTATGACACTGCACTGATGGCATCCTTCTCTGAAGGTATTTAAAGGATATACTCACATAGAAGACACAAACATTTGTCACAGAACTTTTCCAACTGGGGCTGAGCCATTGTGCCCTGTAAGATTCAAGACTATACCACTTCAGTAAAATTGCTGGGTGCTATTTGGTCAGGTGAGGGATAATCCATACCCATTACAGGAAAGAATCAAATCTTCACCTTATTGGCAGCGACTACTTTAAAGCAGGCTCCACACTTACTGGTTCTATTTGGATTTTGGAGGCAACGTATTTCTCACTTGCAAATTTGACTTCAGCCCATTTATGCTGTTACTCACAAATCAGCCTACTTTGAATGGGGCCCCGTACAACAGAAGGCTCTAAAATCTGTTCAAATGCAACAGGCAATCCCATTAATGCCTCCTTAAGACTCCTTCTATATAGAAGCATTGACAACCTCCTCTTGCGCCTCCTGAAGTCTCTGGACTACGTGTGATGGCCATAAATTGCTCACGGGCTTCAGTACATGAAATTCTTTGGCTCTCTAGAGCAGCAACCTCTGGCTATATACTGGAGTCCTCTGGAGATTAATGGAAGCTTTCACAGGTCCTGAGCCCAGCGTTCACCCAGCTCTACCAGACTGGTCTTTACTCAGCTGCCTCTGTGCCTTGGGTCAGGGAGGCAGGAGCACAGAATCAGCATGGCTACAGAAGCCTCTTTATTGAACATGGAAACGGTACCTACAAGATAGAGCCAAACCTGCACCCTCTGGCATATCCTGACTACAGAAGAAAATGGCTTCCCTGGTCCTCAATCCCTTGCCAAATGCAGTGGCGCCAGAGGAGGTCACCCCTCTCCCAGACCCACTGGCCACTAGGGTGCCCCTTGGTATCAACTGAGTGACCAGAAAAGAGAGTCTATACATAAGGGTTGATAGTGCCACCATCACATGTGATAAAACCCAATGGAGAGCTGCTGTTTTCCATTTCCTAATGGAGACGTCTCTAATATCCAGGACCCAAGGTCCGCAAAGCTGGATAAACCTCAAGTAGTCATCTTAGCACTAGAGGATACCCTGGCCAACAACCAGTCCTATCCACATTTTCTACAGAATATTAAGCCATTGCTGATGGGATCCTTGTATGGTACAATGAGTGGCAACAATTCCTTATTTAAGGTTTTTACCCTTTTGGGTAAAACGCTCAGGAAATTTCTTGTGTCATAGATATCCAAAATATAAGTCAAGGTCACACATGTCTCTGTTCATATTAAAGTCATGTTACAGGGCCTCACCCAACACTCACCACCTTCAGAGTTGCAGATGTTATTGATAGTTACCAAAGCACTCATTTCACTCTCAAAACTCAGAATGCTGGGTCATAACCTTGCTTTCCATATGCTATGAATTTATTTATTCTTCAGGGATCCACTGAGTACCTTCTATGATCCAGGTACTGGGTTAGGTTCTGGGAATACAATAATGAATGTGGCTAACACAGCCTTTGCCTGCCATGACTCATTTATTTTGTTGCCTGAGCATACATATATATAAAGATTTCGTTGCAGTAGATGTGGTCAGAAAACACCTGAAGACAATTATGTCCCCATTTAAAAGCAGCACTGGTGAGTCGTTGTATCTAGAGACTGGGAACAAGAATCACGAGGCATCAGGGAACCACGTCAGCCACATTTCTCCTGGAGAAGAGAGCTCTGAAGGGAGGCATGACAGCTGCCACATCGTGTGGAGAGCCACCACATAGGGAACTCCCTTCTCCCTTGATACTCCAGAGGCAGAAGGATGATGGGAAAGCAGATTGTATTTCAATTTTGACAGGAGAACTTCCCAACTATTAGAACTTTTTTTTTTTTTTTTGGTTTTTTGTTTTTTGGTTTTTTTTTGTTTTTTTGTTTTTTTGTTTTTTTGAGACGGAGTCTCGCTCTGTCGCCCAGGCTGGAGTGCAGTGGCGTGATCTTGGCTTACTGCAAGCTCCGCCTCCTAGGTTCACGCTATTCTCCTGCCTCAGCCTCCTGGGTAGCTGGGACTACAGGCGCCTGCCACCACGCCCGGCTAATTTTTTGTATTTTTTAGTAGAGATGGGGTTTCACCGTGTTAGCGAGGATGTTCTCGATCTCCTGACCTCATGATCCACCCGCCTCGGCCTCCCCGAGTGCTGGGATTACTGGCGTGAGCCACCGCTCCCGGCCAGAACTTTCTAACAATGAAACGGACTCCCTCTGAGATGCCAATGTTTCCCCACAAGATAGTAAGATCCCAGTGAAGAAAGGTGATCAAATGGAACCTTATATTCCTTGGGCCAGGTTATGGGTCAGTCACAAAATTGCAAAAATTCCATAGCTTAATATGGCAAAAGTTTAATTCCTCACTCATACTACACATCCATGTGGAGCAGCAGGGGTCTTTGCTCACTGTGGTGTCACTCAGCAAGCTGGTGACGTACATGTGAGCATCCACGATTGCCCACAAAAGTGGGAAGGGAAAGGCCCTCTTCGAGACCATTCCCAAGTGACGTGATCCTTTCCTCATATTTCATTGGCGAGAGTACATCACACAGCACAACTACACAACTACTTAAAAGAGTTATGCTCAGAAAGCCGAACACCAGGAGTATCTGGAGAACAGCATTAATGACAATCATAAACTTCAATCTCTCCATCATATCTGTCCTACCTACTTTGCAGGGTGACTGAAAGGATAAAATCATGCACATGGAACCTCTTCATAAACAATAAAGTGCTATGGAAATGAAAGGATGCTGGTGATGCTCAGTGCATCCTGTTTATTGCGCTTCCCTTAGTACCTAGCACCCTGCCTGGGACATAGTAGAAGCTCAATGAATGTTTGCCGAAAGACTATATGATTAACAAGCATTCTGAGTTGATCTGATTTCTCATTGGGGGAATTTGACTTTGGATGTACTTAGGCGAAGGTGGCTAGCCAATCATCATCTATCAGTATGTTGAAAAACAGATGCCTCTGTTTAGATGGAAAATAAATTACATGATCGCAAAGCCCTTTTTAACAACGACAAAAATGCGAACTGCACATTTTTTTCCTCGGAAACATAATCATTATATTATCCTAAAATAAGGGCTTGGGTTTCATGGCTTGTGAAAGAGTTTTTATTCTTTCTAATAAACCCCTCCCGAACCCACTCTACTTTGTTGCTTTTATTACCTTGAGAGCACGCAACACTCTCTGAACTTTATCTATTGTATCCCCATCTGGCACAGTAGCAAGATGAAGCAGGGACATTGTTTTGCTCTTGCTGGTAACCCCAGTGTCAACAGAGTGCTAGCCACATAGTAGATGTCCAGTATTTGTTGAATGAGTGCTGCTTGGAACAATAAGGAAGGAGAAATTAAAAGCTTAAAAGCCAAATCAGAAGCCAAGACTTCTGACTTAGAGAAGTATACAGCAGGCCAGGCATGATGGCTCATGCCTGTAATCTCAGCACTTTGGGAGGCCGAGGCAGGAGGATCACTTGAGGTCAGGAGTTCGAGACCAGCCTGGCCAACATGGTGAAACCCAGTTTCTACTAAAAATACAAAAATTAGCTGGGTATGGTGGTGGGTGCCTGTAATCCCAGCTACGTAGGAGGCTGAGGTGGGAGAATCGCTTGAACCCAGGAGGTAGAGGTTGCAGTGAGCCGAGATCCTGCCACTGCACTCCAGCCTAGGCGACAGAGCAAGACTCTGTCTTAAAAAAAAAAAAATATATATATATATATATATATATATGCGCGCACACACACACACACACACACACACACACACACACACACATACACACAGCCCAGAAGAACTTATCCAAGCCTCCTGGACTATGAAACAGAGTCTCCAACCTCCAAACACCAAAAAACATCCCAGGCCAGGGAGCTTCACTTCCAAGGGCAGCCATTTCACCTGCTCAAAAGGAAGAGGAACCTTATTGGTAAACACAGCCCCTTTGGGGAAATAACATTGGCCCTCAAAACAGCAGTTTTCTGCCGAGGTGGCATTTTTCCCAACACATTATGCAAAAGCCAGTTGGAGAAGATGCTGAGGACTGTTATTTCCTAATTTGATTCTGCCATTTCCAGTAATGGAAAGCTGCACTCCAGCCATCCATCTTAATAAGTGACAGATGCATTTCATTAAAACTTCCTTAAATAATTTCTCATGGTTTTAGAAGGATGGAAAAACAAGAAAGAGTGCTGTTTTGTGCTCTCTGGCACGTGAACATTTTGAGAGCCATTAAACAAAGCAAGAGCTCGTCTTAGGTTGAGAATTTAGTGGTCAACTGATGCCAACCCAAGTGTGTTACTCAAATGCAGTTTCTCATTGGACAAAGCCGTGAAAGTCTGTTAGACTGTGTTCTGCTGAATGAGTACTAGTAGTAATCACACTATTATTTATGAATGATTTGACAATTCATATTGCACTGTCCATCCCTAAACACATTGCAGAGTGGAGATGGGTAATTCTGTAAATAGACTCTTCTCCATTTTGCAGCTCTCTGCAGGTAAACAGATATGAAAAAAATCTACTAAAGTGAAAAGAACATTGTACTGGATTCAGGGGATTTCATTTCTAGTCTTGTTTCTACTGCTTCGAGCACTGCGGCCTTGGCCAAGTCAGTGACTTAATCTCTCTGTGTCTCCATCTCCTCCTTTGTATGGCAAAGATATAATTCTTGTCAAACAACCCCACAGGAATACTGAGGATTAAATAAGACAATAAAGAGAAAACCATTTCTAAACTATTAAGAAACTTTCATAAAAAAAAAAAAACACCTGCATGAGAATAGGGATTTTTTTTCTCCCCTTTTTCCCACTCCCATATCTCCAGTGCCTAGAACAATACCTGGCACACAGGAGGTATTCAACAGACATCTTCGGATTTATGAGTGTGATGGTTATTTTATATGTCAGCTTAAATAGGTCACGGGGTGCTCAGATATTTGGTCAAACACTATTTTGGGTGTGTCTGTGAAAGTGTTTCTGGATAAAATTAACATTTGAATCAGTAGACTGAGTAAAGCAAATTGCCCTTCCTAGCATGAGTGGACTCCATCCAATCAGTTGAAAACCTAAATAGAACAAAAAAGCTGAGCAAGAGGAAGTTTCACCTTCCTGACTGCTTGAGCTGGGACATGGGTCCTCTCCTGCCCTCAGACTGGAACTCACGTCATCAGCTCTCCTGGTTCACCAGCCTTCAGACTTGGAATGGAACTTACACTACAAGCTTTCCTGGGTTTCCAACTTGCCAACTGCAGATCTTGGGATTTCTCAGCCTCCATAATTCTGTGAGTCAATGTCTTATAATAAGTTTATTTTGACAGACAGATGGTTGATTGATTGGTTGATCTCCATTCATCCTATTGGTTCTGTTTCTCTGGAGAACCATGACCAGTACAATGAGTACAACACAATAAAATGGAAGGTGTTATTAATAATAAGCCATTTGAGTTGCCTTGACCTTCTAAGAAGTAGACACAATGAACTTAAAGTTGAGACTAAGAGAAATAGGATAAGAAAATTCACTCGTAACTCCAGAGGTATCATTTTACACTTAAAATCCCAGGCAGGATGCTTCAAGGCTGTGTGGTTTACGTAAGCACTGTTGTGCTACTCTCTTTTGAGCTCTCATTCTATACTTAGCAGTGACATGCAGCATCTCATTTAATCCTCACAAGCCTATTATTATCCTCACTCTACTCTCTTATGAGAAATGCTGAGTCTCAGAAAGTTCAAATAACTCTCCCAGTACCACAGCTGGTGATGGAGTGGTGGAGCCAAACTAGATTCCCAACCACTGTGCCACTGTCTCGCAGTTTGCAAGTTTAATGGCAGAATTACGGTTGCATCATTCAGCATGCATTGTTAGATGTACTAATCAAATCCACATCAAATGGACTTAAACATAAAGAGAATGTATTGATTCATAACAGAAAAGCACAAGGGAGAAGGGTCTTTGGTGCAGCTTGATCCATGCTCCTGTTCTGTTTCTCTGGTTCTGCCCTTACTCATGTGAGGCTTCATCCGGTTTCCCTCATAGAAGCAAAGTGGTTACAGTGATTTCAACATAATATTCATGCCCTACATCATCCAGAGGGAAAAGAGAAGTGACCCTTTTCTTCTCCAGAACTTGAAACAGACAGATAAGCTTCACTCTGATTTGGACCAACTTGAAAGAATCAAAGTGGCCAAGGAATGGCCATGCACTGATTAGCTTAAGCCTGGGTCATCCTCCAGTCCTAGACCAATGCCCAGGCAAGGAAAATGAGCTTACGGTAATAGGCCCAGGATGAGGTAACCCCCACCTCAGCTATATCACAAGGAGAAATTCTGGTTGCTGTTAGAAAGAGGGGAAAGCAGGATAGGATGCTAGGTGAGCAACCAATAGATGTACATTGTGACAGTCAAATGACTAGTCCCCCTTTCCCTCACCAACAATGTGTGAGGAAACTTTCTTAAGTAGTGACAAAGAACCTGTATTTTCTCAGTACTATGAACCAGCTGTGGCCCCACTAGCTGGCATCCATGCTCCCTTCCAATCACTCAATAGTCCAACAAACATGAAAGAAGCACTTTAGTCTGTACAAGCACCAGTGGTCATCAGTGGTCTGACATTCAAAAATAAGATAAGATCTTGTCTTCAGAGGACTTGTAGTCTGGTAAAACTGGAAACTGACCACAAGGAGAATAAGGGGCAGGAGAGGAGATAGCTGAGAGGAGGATGGATGTGCATGCAATGGGCAGTTGGGGTGTGATCACCTGAGTAAGGCAGACCTCTCAACCCTTTCTTCTGCAGGGCAATCAGCCTGAAGCATTTAACCTTCCTTCAGAGCTTATTTTATCATTCCCACTGCCTTCCTTTGAACAAGTGCCTAGTTCCCCAGCCCTTCTCTTGGAGCCCCAAGACACGTTCCGGTGCTCTGAGGGTCTCCTGATCCATGCTGAGTCTAATCCCACCCCCTGCTCCCTTTATAAAGCACATCTCTTATTTATTCATGCTTGGCTTATTTGCTATTTCCTTTCATTGTAGACACTGGGGAGGGGCTGTGTTTAAATACTCTTATTTGAAGTCTACCTAGAGCACAGTGGCTGTTCAATATGAGTCTGTTAACAATAGTAACTACATTGATAAAGGATTTCAATCTCTGGAGCTATTAATCAAGTGCTTTTTACCAATTCTAAATTCATTTCATCCTGAAATATTTATAGTTCTTGATTGCTGGCAAATAGTTCTAGTTGTTTATTTTCTACTCACTGGTACAGTGAGATTAGAGGCTGGACCTTTTCTCTTTCTCTGTTGTCCTATAGGTTTTTCAGTCCTAAAAGCTTAGTCACCAAACCTCATGAGGTTTGGAGAGGGTAAGGCTTGACTACCCACATTTTGATGGATGGAACAAAACCCGTGTACAGAAATAGGATGCATCATACCTAGGGTACCCATAGCAAAACCAAGCCTACAATTTCAGTTACCAGATATGCCTTAGCTACACTCAGTGTCTTCTCAGGAACAGAGTCGAGGAGTGGCTGAATGCATCACAGGCAGGAAGGGAAAAGAAAGGTGTTTACTGGACACTTGCTATGTCACATACTTTGTCACATGTTTTCATGTGAACCATATCATTTATTTCTCTCAATGGTCTTTGAAAGATAGGCATAATTATTCTCATTACATAAAAATGTAAGGAAGGAAAACAGAAGAATATAAGGGTCAGAATTATTTAACAAACTTTCCCAGAACTAATGACTAGTAAAGCTGGGATTCAAACCCCAATCTCACTCCAAGCTCTGCCCTATTCTTTGTACCTGAGATCTTCCAGTGTCAGCAGATTTCTGAACTTGAAAATGCTCAGAAAATGACATTTGAGGACAGATGGAGATGAGCAGCCCTCACCCCTGACCACACCATCTTGCCCTGATGCTCTCTGTAATAAACTGATGATGATCAGCATAGCCGGGGAAGTAGATTGTATTCTAGTCCTATGTCTGCTACTAACTGGCTGAGTAACCGTGAACAATTCCACTTTTTCAAATATATCCATAAATATTTTTAAGTAGAAAGTTAAGTTATTGAGTGCCCAGTTGAGAGCACTGTTGATGACACTGGCTCTCTCTGCTCCTGATAACCCTAAAAGACATGGGAGTTCGATAATGACCTTTAGAGTGAATTTGGACTTTATCAGCTGTTGCAGCCCAAATGCGCTGATATGATAGCACAAAATGTAGGGCATCTGCATGCAGGAAAGGAGAGTGAAATCAAGGCTCACACAACTGCCCTGTCCTGGCTTTCTTTGGCTGGTGCCTGAGGATGCCCTAAAACAAGCTTGTCCAACCTGCGGCCCACAGGATGCATGTGGCCCAGGACAGCTTTGAATGCAGCCCAACACAAATTAATAAACTTTCTTAAAATATGATGATTTTTTTGGCATTTTTTTTTTAGCTCATCAGCTATCGTTAGCGTTTAGTGTATTTTATGTCTGGCCCAAGACAATTCTTCTCCCAGTGTGGCCCAGGGAAGCCAAAAGATTGGACACCCCTGCCCTAAAATATCAAGCTACGTTCAAAGAATAGGCTGGAAATAAAATCACAGGACAGAGTGGATATGATAAAAACCCCATAGTCCAGCAAAGGGAATAAGGAAGAGAAGAAAAAGGCAAACATTAGATTTTGACACATACAGAAAATTCACCTGCCCAAGAAGAGGCCAAGGGAAGCTCAGAAATCAAGTGTGTAAGAGAATGGCACTGGGTTTGGAAACAGGAGGTAGAGCTCAACGCTGGCTATATAGAGATCCCGGGTGACTTTAGAGAGCTCATTCATCCTCCTTACATGCATAAAATGCAGATAAAGCCCCATCCCCTTATTTCATAACATTGCTCTAAGAATTCAATGAGATAAATCGGAACAAGAAGGGCAGGTTATTATATCACAGGTAGGTTTCAGATGGCTTTGCCTGTCATTTTAATTTTTCCTTCTCTCCATTTGGAACAATGTGATTGGTAAATGAATAGGATTACTTTCACTACTTACACGTGTTGGGGAGAGGGACCGTTAACAAACATTTATTGAGACTCTAATACATGCAAAGTTTGTAGAGGCATGAGAAAGCGTATAAAACGTACTCTCAACCACTTAACGAATGCAAATAACTACCTCCACTGTCATCCTATAATTGATATGAAAGCTAGTTTGGAACTTTTGTACGCAGAATGATGGCCCCCAAGGATATCCATGCCCTAATCCCCAGAACCTGTGAAAACGTAAGGCGATATGGAAAAGGAGAATTAAGGTTGCAGATGGAATTAAGGTTACTAACCAGCTGACATTGAGATGGGGAGATTATCCTGGAGTATGTGAGTGGGCCCAGTGTAATCAGAAGGGTCCTTGTAAGTGGAAGAGAGAAGGAGAAGAGGGAGATCCAAGGAGATGGCAGCATAAGAAAGAGCCCAATTCTGCTGGCTTTGGAGGTGGAAGAATGGAGCCAGGGAACTGGGCAGCCTTGAGAAGCTAGAAAAAGGCAAGACAACGAATTCCCTCCAGAGCCTCCAGGAGGGATGGAGCTCTGCTGACACCTTGATTTTAGCCCCGTGAAACCCATTTTGGATGTCTGATCTATAGAATTTAAGACAATAAATTGGTGGTGTTTCAAGCCACTACATTTTGGATAATTTGTTACAGAGGCCATAGGAAACTAACATAAGAATTCAGTTGTTTTGTCTTTTTATTTGGAAAGCCAGTCCTCTATCTTGTACTTCTTTGCAAATAAACCTCCTTTCTTTTCTAAATGTTTTTGTCTCTGAGTCTTCCAGGACAGACATCACAAAGAATTCCCTACCAATTAATTAGTAGCCAGAATATGAGATATATATTCCAGGTAAGTATTGCTATAAAGATATACAGTCTAGTCATTTACTGCAAGTTATCCTACCGTTTACTGTTACAAAACAAGCATTTATTATGCTCATGAATTCTATGCATTAGGCATTCAGACAGGGCACAGTAGGGGTTGTTAGCTTCTGCTTGAGATAACTGAGTCCTCGGCAGGCTAGAAGGCTGGGAGTATCTTGACAGCTGGGGGCTAGAATTATCTGACGGCTCATACACTTACATATCTATTAGTCAATGCTGTCTGTAGTCTGGGGCATTAGCTGCTACCATAGGCTGGAACACCATTGCATGACCTCCCTGTGTAGCTGGGACTTCCTTACAACACGGTGACTTTTCTAGAATGTCATATAGTTGGACTCATATAGTATGTAGCTTTTTCAGACTGGCTTTTCATTAAATAATATGCATTTAAGTTTCCTCTATGTCTTTTCATGGCTTGATAGTTCATTTCTTATCACTGAATATTCCATTGTATGGATGTACCACAATTTGATT
This sequence comes from Homo sapiens, assembly GCF_000001405.40. NCBI lineage: Eukaryota > Metazoa > Chordata > Mammalia > Primates > Hominidae > Homo > Homo sapiens. The sequence continues at coordinate 29,983,796 of NC_000002.12, forward strand.
ATCCATTCACCTTTTTTTATATTTTTGGGTTTTTTTTTTTTTTGCTTTATTTCCAACCTTTTAAGTTCAGGGATATATGTACAAGATGTGCAGGTTTGTTACACAGGTAAACATGTGCCATGGTGGTTTGCTGCACAGATCATCCCATCACCCAGGTATTAATCCCAGCATCCACTAGCTATTCTTCCTGATTCTCTCCCTCCCCCCACCCCCCACACCAGGCCTCAGTGTGTGTTGTTCCCCACTATGTGTCCATGTGTTCTCATCATTTAGCTCCCACTTATAAGTGAAAACATGTGGTATTTGGTTTTCTGTTCCTGCATTAGTTTGCTAAGGATAATGGCCCCCTGCTCCATCCATGTTCCTGCAAAGGATAGAATCTTGTTCCTTTTTATGTCTGCATAGCATTCCATGGTATATATGTACCACATTTTCTTTATCCAGTTTATCATCAACGGGCATTTGGATTGATTCCATGCCCTTGCTATTGTGAATAGTGCTGCAACAAACATGCACATACATGTGTCTTTTGACTATCCATTCGCCTTTCAAAAGACATCCTGATTGCTTCAAGTTTGAGTAAATACCTAGGAGCACAATGGTCAAATCATGTGACAAGACTATGCTTAGCCTTGTGAGAAACCACCAAACTGTCTTCCAAAGTGGCTGTACCATTTTGATTCCCATTAGCAATGAATGAAGAGTTCTTGGTGCTTGACATCCTTGCCAGTATTTGATGTTTTCAGGGTTAGCTTTTTTGCTTTTTTTTTTTTTTTTTTTTTTTTGGATTTTAGTCCTATCCCACTGGGTTTAGTAATAGGTATATAGTGGTATCTCATTGTACTATTTAAATTTGCAATCCCTAATAAAATGATGTTGAACATCTTTTCATATGCTTGTTTGCTATTTTTATATCTTTTTTAGTGAGGTATCTGTTTAGATCTTTTGCCCCCCGCCCCCCTCTTTTTTTTTTTTTTTTTTTTGAGACAGAGTCTCACTCTGTTGCCAGGCTGGAGTGCAATGGTGTGATCTTGGCTCACTGCAACCTCCGCTTCCCAGGTTCAAGCGATTCTCCTGCCTCAGCCTCCGAGTAGCTGGGACAACAGGTGCATGCCACCACGTCCAGCTAATTTTTGTATTTTTAGTAGAGACGGGATTTCACCATGTTGGCCAGATGGTCTCGATCTCTTGACTTTGTGTTCCACCCACCTTGGCCTCCCAAAGTGCTGGGATTACAGGCAAGAGCCACCACGCCCAGCCCAAAAAGGTTCCATTTTGTTTGTTTATTTATTCATCTGTTTGCTCTTAGAAATAAAATCACAGATAGGGCCTTGATGTTCTTCTGTGAGTCTAATCTTTCTTTGTATTCCTTGGGAATTTCAAAGAAATGACTATTGTCAGGGTAATCTAACAAGGCTACATTTGTGTTCTCTTCCTTCCAAACATTTGTTAATCCACCCTGCAACAACTCAGAGGCTTAAAGCTTTCTATAGCACTCTTTCAAACTCAGTTTCATCACTGGTACGTGTTGTTCTCCAAATCAGGTGTGACCTCTGAGGGTTCACGCTCATCTCTGCCCATCAGTGTTCCAATAGGGAAACAGCTATTGCCTCAAAACCAATTGGTCTCACAGCTAGGGCAATCATCAGTCTGTGGTAGATATGTTCTGCACTGGGAGTCTTAGCAGTCAGTCCTAGATGATGCCTCCATGTGTAGCAGGTATGAATTTTATTCCACAACATGGAACATAAGAAAGTTCATATTACTTTTATCTCCTAAAATAAAATTTAATCTTTTCTGAGGTCCTATCCCACTGGGTTAGTAGCAAATTTAATTTTGGTCACTACCTTGCGTCCTTTCCTCACTCAAGATTGGCAAAGTTCCCAGGGATCTTCCATAGTATGTGATTCAGGAATGGCTCTCTGGTCCATGGTTCATCACTAATATGGTCATTGTCCAAGCCCATGAAATCCCACAAAGGTGAGCATCAACTCTGTCCTGGGCTCATGGCTAAGGCTAAGTGGCCAGAGCCCCAGGTCCAGCCTCCTGGGTGCCCCACGTAGTATTCTCTGCTGAGATTCTGCCATCCTCCTATATTTTCTTACCATTAGGGGAAAGGCACCGGTGCCTACCACCCAATAAACCTAAAAATTTTCTCTCCCTTCTGGTCTTAGAGGATGGTCTAAAAACCTCTTCCCCTTGTGGCAGCTTCAACAGCTAGAGCCTCTTGGATACCGAACACTTTCCTCTACCTCCATCTCTTCCCTTGCAGCTCAGCACATTCCCCTCTGGAGCACAGACTTTGGCAAAACAAAAGCCAGGAGAACCATTGTCTTCTGAGGGGCTGCTGTTTCCTGCTGCTGCTCCTGGGCAGAGACCAGAGATGAAAATGGGGTACAAAAATGCTGACTGTATAGCACCAATTTAAAAAAAAAAAAACTCAATTGCAATTTCAGTTTATCATACTGCCACAATTAAATTAGTATAATTATAGGATAGAACAGCTCCTCAAAGAGATCTCATCACCTGTAACTCCCAAAGCACATTTGGAAAGGCCCTCCCGCCACCTGTAACCTAAATCATCACATATTCCTCTCTGCCTACCAGCATGCTGCCTTCAGTCTGCTTCTGGTTGGGAGTAATTTTGTCTGGAACTCTCTCCCCCAGACCATGAATTCCTTAAGGGCAGGGACTGGGTTTTTCTGTATCAGTCAGGTTCCAAGAGGAAACATGGCACATGGAAACTGGACAATACAAAGAGGTTTGATTTACAAAGGGACTTATTACAAAGGCATGGGAAAGATGTAGGGAACTTCAAGGGATCACGAGGGAATCCAGAGCTAGCAAAGATCCAAAGAGATGAGAGAAGGTAAAGTTAATGAATCCTGGAAAAAAAAAGAGTGGGGTAGAGTCAATACCATGCCAAGATGAACACAGGGAAGGTGCTATGGAATGCCAATTTCCTGGCCTCAGTCTCCTCCCTCCAACTGGACTCTCCATTGGCTAAACCCAACCAGAAACCAGAGGGCTTGGGTGCTGTCGACGTAATCCTCTGATCATCTTTGGGGCAGAGAACAATGTGGCCTTTGTGGGATCTAAATAATGAGTAGTTCTTCACTACCTTTGGATCAACTCTAGTGTGTGCCCTCTTTAGTCTTACAGTCTAGGGATAGAGAAGGGAGACTAGCCCCAGTAGTTTCACTCCAAGTTCCCAGCTTATTCCACCTTCTTTTGCTGTACTGAATCCCTTGGGTGATTCTGAACCCTACAAGTACTTAATCTGAGATACACAAGCCATTGCTTGATCATAAGCTGTTTTGCAATTCACATAGGTTATTGTGTTCCTTGAACAGGACTATATATAAATTCTGTAAAGGCAAGATTTGTGTCTTGTATCTTTCTCATATGTATAACAGCTCTAAACATAATGGTTGTCTAAAGTAAGCACTTTACACTTGTCAAATGAGTGAGTCATCAAAGGGATCTTTGAGTGTCCAGGAAGATTTGAGCTCCAGGGGTGGGAGGGGGCATGTTTTGAATGACAGCCATACCATGTTACTATAGAGACTTTTCAGGGGAAGAATTACTTAGAATCAGGCATAGCTTCCCACCTTCCTCCTCTCCTCTCCCCAGCAACTAAAGCCCCAGAGGCACTCCCAGTCACGCTCTGAGAACAGAAAGCTGTTGCAGAAGCACAGATTCTATTCATTCATGCTTCTATTCATTCAGTTATGTATTCATTCACTTAACAAATAATTATTGAGGCTCTCCTGCATTCCAGGCACTTAGGTAGGTATTGGGTTTACAGTAGATCATTATCCTGACTTCCTCACCCTTTAAGGGACATATAAATATACAAATTAATGTAAAATTGAAAAGTATGATAAGTGCAGCAATTTTTTTAAGTGTGAAATAAAAGACTAGCTGAGACATGGCCAAGGTGGTCAGTGTCCTGCCTACACCCCAGCTTGCCCTGGAGGTCACTGTTGATAGCTGCCATCCACGTAATGACTTTCTGTTTGCATCTCTGCTTTGGGGTTCTCTGGGGTGGAAGGGAGGCTAGAAGTTTTAGGGAGTTGGAGCCCCAGGAACGCCCTTCACCCAGTGAAGGATGGGAGTCAGTGGATCATTACCCTGGCTTCCTCACCCTTTAAAGGACAATTTTGAGACATGTTGCATAAAAGCTCTCTCAGAGGGCCACAGAGGAAGACAGCCCCAAGTGCCCAGAGCAGTTACCTGCTCTTTAACCTCACACATGGCTGGCCTTGTTTCCTTCCCTGGATCCCTTCCTCACTCCCCTACTGCTGCTTCCTGGAATTGCCCCCCGACACACACATACAAAATTAATTGCATCCATATCATCTCATCCGTATCATCTCAGGGTCTCTTTTGAGGGGAGCAAAAACTAAGACAATAGAAAACTAACTTACATTCAGGTCAACACCCACTTTTACTTAGACTCTTCCAGACTCAGGGGTCTGTGACATCAGTTATACATACTCTGAGAAAGACTCTAGTCATTGGAATTTTGGAAGAGAGGTGAGCCAATGACTGGTGGTCCTTCATCATGGGGGGATATGGAGAAGGGATTCTGTGTACTGGAAGGGGAGAGGAAAGGGAGGAAGGAGAAACAGGGAGTGACTGAGTGAAGGGACCAGCTGGCAGCCACAGGAAAGAGGTAAATGATTATTCCATTCTCTTCACAGAAAAACAGAACTTGGTTCCTTGTCATGGCCTCACAGCAATCCGGACCGTACAAGGCAGAGTGGGGGGCACTTTTAAAGCAAGTGATACCAACTGTGAGTTTTCTTCAACAGACTCAAAGTGTGAAAAAAGGCCCTTTGTAGGCTACTGATGTTCTTGCTTAGAATGGGTGTTTAATAACTCCTTCTCCTCCAATGTTAAACTTCAGGGAACTAGTATTCACTACTAAGGGAATGACTTCTCTGAAAGCCAAGGCCACATCTAGTTTCATGTTTGAATTCCTGTCACAGAGCACAGAGGAAAAGAAGGTGCTCAAAAGTGTGTTGAATGCGCAAACGAACGAGTATGGAAGAGGAGTTGGCAGGGGCCTCGCACGTTCCTTCCCCTCTCCTAGTGATTCTTCCTTGTGTAGGAGGCTCTGTTAACAGGGCTCTCCCTTAGTAGGCCACTCCAGCCTCTCCCCACCGCTCCCTGACTGGACCCTGGGAATTATGGAGTGACCCATCTGAGTACTGCTTTTGGAAGAAGAGCTTGAGTAGGGGCAGCCCAGCCCTTTCTTCTCCTCTCTCTCTTCAAAGTGAGCTGCCCACAGGGTGTATGCATTTTCTTGGTGCCAGCACCTGTGGGACAGGAGGAACAGATGTGAAGTTCAGCCTTTCCCTAAGACCATAGCTATATTCTCCTATATCAGTTATAGCATTAATAACAGCAATATTTTGGTTCCCATCAATTCTTTTATATCTTAAAATTCAATTGGTCCAAACTCCAATATTATGGAAGAAGATTTTCATAATTTTAGCGGGACAGAATAGACTGAAGTAAAGAGGCCTGAGTCCTGAATGGTCTTCCACTTACCAGCTGTGCAAATTGAGGGTTTTACTTCACTTCTCTGAGACTCAGTATGTTCACTGTTGAAAGCATTGATCTAGATGACTTCCAAGATCCCTTCCATGATTCTGAGCATCTGAGATTTGCAGGGGCATCTGCCTCTGGGGAGCACCCCCTAGCTCACCTCGTCTGGGCCAGATGCCTCTTCTTTGTGCAACTGGAAGCCTGCTCTGTCCTCCCTGACAGCACTTGCCACACTGTTCATATTGTCTGAATCCTCAGCCAGTCAGTTGGCAACATGGGAGTGGGACCATGCTGTTTGATTCCCTGCTGTATTCCCGGCACCTGGTACATCTCATAGCAGGTGCTTAATTGGCTGAATTCACAATTGTGATACAATTCAGGGGCCAGAGGCCCCTGAGGCACAGTTAGCCACCCTTTCCCTGTGCAGTGGGAAAAGAAAAGCATCACAGTGGCCGATCTAGCCATGACTCTCACACCACGTACCCCAAGGAATCTGGAAAGTAGATCCCAAGAAAGGCCTGGATTTTGAACCTGTTTCTGAAGGGGAAAATATCTTCCTATATTGTTTTTCAGATTAATTTGCCAGTGTTAGGGAAACAGTAAGCCATCTTTCGGGGAGAGATGACCATTTCTCCCATTGGTTCATTCATATTTATAGGCATCTGGTTTGGGGCTATTGCTGTGTCTGTTCGCAGATTCTCAGATTCTCAGTGAGGCTTTTAGCCATTTGGAAAGCACAATAAACTCCTCTCCATTTCCATCTGCACAAGCCCATGCTGTAGTTATTCCCCTCTACAAGCCCTACCTGCCATCACGACATTTCCCTACCCTGGGATTGGAGGAAATGAGCAAATCAACCCTGAGCACGCTTCAGGTGGCTCTGTGACCTTGCATTCTTCCCAGTGACCTTTCTCATGTTACTCTCTGCATGGGCAACTCCAGCCATTATATTAGCAACACACAATTACACCTTCAAGGTACATTCAAGTTCAGGCACTGCCAGGACATAAATACCTTAATGAGGTGACAGCCATGCAAAACCTCTGAGTGACGTAAATCAGAGCTCAGATTGCAAAGACACATTGGCAGGTTCACGCCCAAGCACAGAGAAAGAAGAAAGCAGAAAGGGAGGAAGGGAGGCAGGGAGGCAGAGGAAGGAAGTGGGGAGATGAGAAGGAAGGAGGGAGATGAGAGGGAGGAAGGAAGAAGGGAGAATTCTATGGTAATGCTAGTGGTAGCACGCAGCACAATGTTTTTGAAGTGATTTCTAATGCTTTCATCAAACACTTGCATCCTCATCCCGACTTCCTTGATTTCTCTGCTGGCTAAATCCCTGCTGGCACACCCAGGATTCAGTACTCACATTCAGCAAGCACTCATCAGTTGACAGAACACAACTTGGCTCTAGGTTGTCCTTGCCTCTATCATACCCTCCAAATGCACCTCGGCCCATGGGGTGAGGTCTCTACTGCACAGACTCCTAACTCTGTTGGTGTCCTAAAGGAATGTCAATCTCAGGCCTAGAGGCAGAGTGGATGGTGGGGGAGGGCATATCCAGCCTCCAACAGCAGCCAGGAAAGGGGACTCCGGTGCTACTGCTCTGGCCGATAGGTGACAGAAGGACTTTCTCATCCCTGAACCTGCTCACTCTAATGCAAACAGTCTTTGGTTCAGTTCTATACTAACCGCAGAACTGAAGCACTCAAGGGCCCTGTTCCATCATGTAGGGCCACGACTAATGCTAGATACTGAGAAAAATGGTGAGAGATAGAATCCAGAGTCAGAGGTCAACATAAAAGGTAATGACAAGTAGCTGACCTGTGGAGATGCAATCAGCCTGGCTTCGCCTCCTTGGACTGCTGTTTCCTCTAAGGGTTGCATGGCTGCTCTGCGGGCATGTATGCACCTGTCTTAAAGGCATAGCTGTCTGAGTGATGCCCAACATCCCCAGGCCTGGTTATTCCACTCCCAACAGCCCCACCACCTCGCAAGGGCTTCATGTGGTTGTTCCCACAATGGTGGCAGTAGAATGAGCAGTAGCTTTTATCCACCTTACTCCAGGAATAGGAGGGGCCCAGTGCAGTGCTGCCTAACAGAAATACAATGTGAGCCACATATGTAACTTTAAGTTTTCTAGCATCTATGTTAAAAAGTGTAAAAACAAACAGATAAAATTAATTTTAATATTAAACCCAATATGTTCAAAATATCATGATTTCATGTAAGCAATGTAAACAATTATTATAATATTTTACATTCTTTTTTCCATAGCAAGGGCTTTGGAACCCTGTGTATAGTTAATATTCATAGCACATGGCAATCAGAATAGCCATATTTCAATTGCTCAGAAGTCACAAGTGGCCAGGCACAGTGACTCACGCCTGTAACCCCAGCACTTTGGGAGGCCGAGGTGGGCAGATCACAAGGTCAAGAGATCGAGACCATCCTGGCCAACATGGAGAAACCCCCATCTCTACTAAAAATACAAAAATTAGCCGGGCGTGGTGGCATGCCCCTGTAGTCCCAGCTACTCAGGAGGCTGAGGCAGGAGAATCGCTTGAACCTGGGAGGCAGAGGTTGCAGTGAGCCGAGATCACGCCACTGCACTCCAGCCTGGCTACAGAGCAAGACTCCGTATTAAAAAAAAAAAAAAAAAAAAGTCAGATGTGCCCAGTGGCTTCTATATGAGGTTGCCTAGTTCTGGTAGGATTCCCAGAAGGCCACACTCTCCCCAGTCATTCTAGAGATGCCTGCCTCAGTTATATGAACCAGTAAGGACAAAGGGGCTCTGAGATCATCAGAAACAAAGCATGTAGGCCAAGGAGCCAGGAGCAGCAAGCAAGGACATGTCAGTCTGACCCCAGATAAGGGAATACTTCCAACTCAGCACAGAAGCTCATATGCTCCATCAGGAGCTCTCCTGTCTAAATGCACCAGCCTTTCCTTCCTGTAATGAAACCATGTCTCAATCTCTGCAGTGCCCCCAGAAAAGAGACAAACAGGAAGTTGAACCCAAATTGCGCTTGTTTTTTCCCTTATCCAAACCAAAAAGAAGGAAGAGTCTATAGCCCTCACAGATCAGAGAAGGGAGTACATAAATAAAAAACACATGGCCACCATAATATCTGGCCCTTCCAGCATCCTGCTTACCTGGCAAAACTCAGATTCCATTGACACCACTGGAGAGGAGAGTGACTTTCCCCCTTTATAGGCCATACTCTGCATCCTCATCAACCCCACCTCTGCACCCAGCTGTCCCACTACAGACACCTAGGACTGCACCTGCATTACTTAATCTCATGTATTAACATATATCTTTCCCTCTACTAATGTGTTAGCTCCTCGAGAGTAGGGTTCAGGGCTTATTTATTTCTGCATCCCTGGCACCTGACGCAGACTAGCTTTGAAGATAGTAAAAACAGGTGATAAGAGAACAAACACAAACTCTGAGTTGGCCAGCCCTAGAATTACAAATTTGCTGTATTTTGAATAGCGCATAATCTTGGGGAGTTGGTGGGACCTTTCTATGCCTCAATTTCCTCATCCATAAAATGAAAACAATGATTCCTATCTCTTAGGGTTAATGTGAAGATTTGGTGTGGAACACACTTAGAGCACTTTAACTCAACTCACGACATACGGTGGGGATCCAGGAAAAGTGGGTTTGTTCCTGGACCAAACTGAGGGTCAGGCTGCTTATTCTCGTGGCCCAATAACAAGATGCAAATGAACTGGGAAAGAAGAGTTAATTTCTGTAACCTGGTACAGGGAGAAGGCCTGGAAAACATTGCCAGACCACCTCAAAATTACAAAGTTTTCCAGAGCTTGCATACTTTCTAAGCTATGTGTCTATGTGCAAGCGTGCATTCATCTAAAGACATAACTGATTAACTTCTAATCTGTGACTAAGGTCTGAGTTTTGAAGACCTTCCTCTGGAGCCTCAGTAAATTTACTTAACCTAAATGGGTCCAGGTGCCGGGAATGATTACCCTTATCTTGTCTCTTGCTAAATCATGGAAGTTTGGGGAGTTCCTTTAGACCCCTAGTAAAACTTGCTTTATCCTAAATGGGTTGTGTTAAGATTTCCTTCGTTATCTTGTCATGCTTCAAGTCCCAGGAAAGGCCTAGGCTCTTGGTGGGCTTTTGCTACATTCCAGCCTTTGTAAAAGGGCACTGGCCCTTTCAGCCCTTTTTTTTTTTTTTTTGAGACAGAGTCTCACTCTGTCACCCAGGCTGGAGTGCAGTGGTGTGATCTCGGCTCACTGCAAACTCCGCCTCCCAGGTTCACGCCATTCTCCTGCCTCAGCCTCCCGAGTAGCTGGGACTACAGGCGCCCACCCCCACACCCGGCTAATTTTTTGTATTTTTAGTAGAGACAGGGTTTCACCGTGTTAGCCAGGATGGTCTCGATCTCCTGACCTCATGATCCGCCTGCCTCGGCCTCCCAAAGTGTTGGGATTACAGGTGTGAGCCACTGTGCCCGGCCTCAGCCTTTAATATTTAACTTAACCACTCGGTCAGTGCTGAAACAGTTGTTACGGAGGCCTGCCTGTTCAGCTGTTAGTGAAACCTGGCCTGCCACAGGTTCACCTTTCGCTCGAGCTGGAGCAGATAGAGAAAAACAAGAGGTGATAGGAACTGGGCTGAGTTGAACATCAGCCTTCATCTGGCTATGTACAGGCTGTCAGCAAGAGTACAAGTCTTGGCCAAATGCAGTGGCTCATGTCTGTAATTCCAGCACTTTGGGAGATGGAGGTGGGAGGATTGCTTGAGCCCAGGAGTTTGAAACCAGCCTGAATAATGCAGTGAGACCTTGCCCTTACAAAAAATAAACAAAATTAGCCAGACATGGTGGCACATGCCTGTAGTCCCAGGTACTTGGGAGGCTGAGGTGGGAGGATTCCTTGAGCCCAGGAAGTGGAGGCTGCCATGAGCTGCCACTGTACTCCAGTCTCTGGGTGACACAGCAAGACCCTGTCTCAAAAAACAAAAAGTACAAGTCTTTTCAGTCCCTTACATCAAGGCTGTTCTGATCCTTAGTCTAACGTTATTCTAGCCAAAGGGGCAAGTAGCAAGAGACGTCCTCCCAGTCTGTGCCTTGATTTAGAAAGCACCTCACAGTTTGTGAAATAAATGGCAATGTATTCAAAGGGTATCAGATGAGAGTATTACTTCCTTTCACTGGCTGGCTATATTGTTTTCTTGATTTCATTTCTCGATGCATGTTAATTGGCCTGCTTGTCTCTCTTGCTCCATTTCACTCTGTGTGTCTTGTCTATAGATATGTAGGTCTCTCACACTCCCCAGGTGTCTATCTTTATGTGATTTTCTGTCTTTCTATCTCTCCCTGTCAAAAAGCCTCTTTTTTCTGTGTTTTTCTTTACTGTTTTTCTCTCTCTAGCCCATGTTTTCTTTTTCTTATTTGGGCATTATATGTAAATGAATGTATACTTTAAAATTGTTTTGTGTAGTTCTTATGATAAATTTTAAAAATGGAATGCTTTATATTTCTCTCCCATTTGACAAAAAAGACACTGCTAAAGAAAATCCCATCAAGTTATTTTTCAATATGTTTCCCTTGGTTTTTATTTTCAGCATATCAGTATCTCAGTAATAGTGATTAGAAAAATAATAGCAAACATTTGTACAGCACTTACTACATGCCAAACACTTTTCAAAGCGTATATTTCTCCTGTGAACTAGAAAACAACCCAACAAAAATGAAATGGATACTATTATTATTGCCATTTTACAGAAGAGAAAGTTGGAATGTCTGAATAGCCTATGAACCATCACTTTCCCCCTTTCCCTGGGAACTGTCCCTTCTCATGTGAGCCCAAAAATGGATCCTCAGTTATATTGGTTGAGCAAATCCAGCCCTTAGCCATAGCTGATCTGACCAGAAGAGGACACCTGAATTAGACTGGGGCACTCAGACCTTCTGCTCCAAGGCTTACACTCTGAGAGATGCCAGTCAATTTCTGTGTGTAGCAGGACTCATACTGCATACATGCATGAGCTGTGAGGTGGCCATATTCTACCACAGGGACCAGAGAGGGAGAGACAGCAGATAAGCAGAGAAATAGAAGAACAGAGACATGCAAAGGAGAAGAGATGGGGGCAGGAGACAGAGCTCGGCCAGCTTCCTCATCCCAGTGCCTGCACTTAGTGAGGGAGCTGCTTCCCTGTCCTTGGGGACCACCAAACAAGCATGCCCCTGTGTCCATCCAGTCATTTCCCCTTTTGTTCAACTTTTTCAAAGGAGTTTCTGTTACTGGCTACCAGGGACTTTCCTAACATACATATTTACCTGTAACGGAACCATGACTGTCCTCCCAGTCAAATCCTTTGATGCTTCCTACCACTCAGCATCTCATGCTGCTGTTGTCCTGCATGCTCCCCTTGCAAGACTAATAAAGAGCCAGGCTCTTTGGTTTCTTCAGATGGTTTGTCTCTGAAATATGCCAACCTGTCCTCTGAGGATCCTTCTCAGCGCCAGTCTTTTCTCTCCATGTGAAGAGCCCAGATCCATACTCTAAACTGGAAGCATCTAGGCTGGGATGCCTCTCTTTATGAAGCTGTCTTCCTCTGGTCCCTCTGGACAGACGGGAAAGCCAAAGGAATGAGATGAAGACGACACTGTAGTGTGAAAAACTGTACATCACTCTTTTGAGAGCTATACATGAGAAAAGAAGAGGAAGATGGAATAGCACCTGGGAAGATGGATAGCATCACAGAAGGTTGTCTCTTAAGAATGGGGATATATTTCCCGATGACACGTTTAGCCATCATCTGCATATGGCAATCCTCATTTAGAGACCTTGGAGCCAGACTGCCTCTCAAATCACATAAAAACAGAATTTTCTGTCTTTTTCTAAGTATAAGCCTTCCCTCTTTTAAAATTTGCCTGAGGCATCCCACTCACTAGCCCCCTCCTTAGCCACAACCACTTTTGCCCTGTGGTATAGTGTTTGGAGCTCATCATCCCTGTGTTTACTTCTACCTCATGGAAAAAACTTCTGGTAACATCAGTGAACATGGTAGAGGAAAGACGTCTAAAACTCCTCTCCTCCATAAAATCAACTAAAACACCGGCAAAAATGATCAGAATCAACTTTTCCAGAACTCTGGGATTTAATCAAAGACTTGATACAAACCAGGGAATATTTATTCAAGGCAAAAAGCTGAATCTCAGTTTAAAAAAAAAAAAAAAAAAAAACAGACAAACAGTGAGCATTGTGGCATTTAACTTGTCCTAATCCCCATCCCTACCCCCAGCTCCAAAGTAGCCTTGAAAATCAACAGGTTACAATCAACGGGAAAAGCAGCATCCTGGCTGCCCCACTGGCAGGGGCGGAACAGGGCTAGAGCACCTTCAAAGTCTCATTCCCACAGAATTCCCATTAACTGGCCTCTCTGGTGGTCCCTAGAAGATCTCACTTACAGGGTTGTGTTTATTTGACGTAACTGGGAACTTGCCCAGTGGGAACAGCCTGGCAATTGTTAAACGTCACAGTGTTAAACATCACAGTGCTTGAGGAGGTGGGCAAAAGTTGAGGCAAACAAAAGACTAATTAAAAAGCTTAAAAAGAAAAACTGGAGAATGAGAGATGTCCACAGGCAGCTTCAAAAACCTCAGACATATTCTTGAGAATCTAGATTGCCAGTTGCATGAATATGGGGGACACACACTCAGGAAAGACCTGAGAAGAACCTAAGATCTCACTGTTGGCTGACATTGAAGTTCTGGGCAAAGAGGAAGCAAAGGCTTAGGCAGAATTATCAATGGCCTGGTTGAGGGTTGAAGGAATACCCCAAAACACACAGAGCCCCTCAGCAATGACTGAGAGACTTTCCAGGCATTTAAGGATATCTCTGCCAATCATTAGTAAGCAATAACCTAACTGAGCAGAAACTTCAATGATTATGCATGACAAAGAATATGGCCTTGAGAGAGTTCAGAAAGTCATGAACCTAATAACAACAAACAGCAAAAATAAACTCTGGAGAGAAGGGAAAATATGATTTCTAGAGTTGCCACATTATATTACTTAAAATGCCCAGTTGCCAATAAAAATTATGAGACATGCAAAGAAACAAAAAAGCATGGCAAACATACAGTAATAAAAACTCAGTCAGTAGAAACTGTCCCTGAGGAAGTCTAAACATTGCACTTATTAAACAAAAGCTTTAAGATACTATTTTAAATATGTTCAAAAAACTAAAAGGAAGCATATTTAAAGAACTTAAGGAAAGCATGAGAATGATATCATACCAAATATAATAGAAAAACTGTTAAAAGGACTAGATAGGATTTCTGGGAGCTGAAAAGCATAATACTTGAAATTAAAATATTCTCTAGAAGGGTCCAGCTACAAATCTGAGTAGACAAAAGAAAGAATCAGTGAACTTGAAAATTGTTCACCGAACTGTCAGTGAACAAAACTGAGAGAACTTGTTGCTAGCCGACCTGCCTGAAATGCTAAAGTGAGTCCTCCAGGATGAAAAGACACTAGAGCAGAACTCAAATACACATGAAGATGCAAAGAGTATTAAAGGATACTACATAGGTAAATATAAAAGAAAACATAAATGAGTTTTGTTTGTAACTTGTTTAAGAGACAATTGCATAAAACAGTAATTACATGTCTGTGTCAATGGGCATACAATATATTAAAATATAATTTGTATTACAAAAACATTACAAAGAAGGAGGAAATGGAGCTATACAAGAGCGAAGTTTTATCTATTGAAAGAAAACTGGGGCCGGGTGTGGTGGCTCACATCTATAATTCCAGCAGTTTGGGAGGCCAAGGCAGTTGGATCACCTGAAGTCAGGAATTTTGAGACCAGCCTGGCCAATGTAGCAAAACCCCGTCTCTACTAAAAATACAAAAATTAGCTGGACATGGCGGTGGGCACCTGTAATCCCAGCTACTCGGGAGGCTGAGGCAAGAGAATCGTTTGAACCTGGGAGGCTGAGGTTGCATTGAGCTGAGACTGTGCCATTGCACTCCATCCTGAGTGACAAGAGTGAAACTCTGTCTCAAAAAAAAAAAAGAAAAAAGAAAATTGGCATTAATCTGAACTAAACTGTTGTAAATTAAGATGTTAATTAGAATCTCCAGGGTGATCATTTAGAAAATAACTCAAAAAATATTGTAATAAAAATGACAAAGAAATTAAAATAGTGCATTAGACAATATCTATTTAACAAAGAAGGTAGTAATGGAGAAATACAGGTATAAAAATGACATAAGACATATAAGAAAACACAAAGCAAAATGAGAGGTATAAATGCTACCTTACCAGTAATTATGTTAAATTATAAATGGAATAAACATCTCAATTATTAAAGGGATATTTTGGCAGAATGGATACAATAAGATAACCCAATTATATACTTTCTTTAGGTGACATACTTAAGGTTCAAAGACACAAATAGGTTGAAAGAAAAAAGATGAAAAAATATACACCATGAAAACAGTAGCCAGAAGAGAATTTAAGGGCTATACTAATATTAGACAAATAGATTTTAAGACAAAAATTGTTACTAGAGACAAAGAATGACATTTGGGCATTCAGCATGGTGGCTCACACCTGTGATCCCAACACAGGCATAGGGTGCCACACATCTGTAGTCCTAGCTACTCAAAAGGCTGAGACAAGAGAATAGCTTGAACCCAGGAATTCAAGGCTGCAGTGAGCCATGATTGTGCCACCACACTCCAGCACAGGCAAAAAAGCAGACCCTATTTCTAAAAAAAAAAAAAAATTAAAATTAAAAACATTTTTAAAGAATGACATTTCACAATGATAAAATGACAAACCCATCATGATGATATAATAATTACAAACATATATGCACCTAACAACAGAGCCTCAAAATACATGAAGCAAAAGCTGACAGAATTGAAGAGTAAAATCATCAATACAAAAATAATATTTGGAGCCTTCAATATCCCACTTTCAATTATGAACAGAACAACTACACAGAAGGTCAATGAGGAAATAAAAGATTGAATAACACTTCAAACCAATTCAACAAAGAAGACATCTAAAGAACAGTACCCAACAACAGCAGAATTTATATTTTTCTCAAATGCACATGGAACATTCTCTAGTATGGATGATATGTTAGGCCATAAAACAGTCCTAAATGAATTCAAGTGATTAAAATCACACAGTGTGTTCTCTGATGACAAGGAATGAAATTAGAAAATAATTAAAGAAGTCAATTTGGGGAATGTATAATTATGTGGAAATTTTTAAAACATACTTCGAAGTGACCAATCAGTCAAAGAAGAAATTACAAGAAAAGCAGGAAAATACTTTGAGATAGATGAAAACAAAAACACAACATACCAAAACATATGAGGTGCAGCTAAAGCAGTGCTTAGAAGGAATTTTACAGCTTTGAATTATCTACATTAAAATAAAGGAGAAAGCTCTCAAGTCAGTAATCTTCTACCTCAAGAAACTGAAAAAAGACGAGTAAAAACCCAAAGCAAAAAGAAGGAAGAAAATAATGGAATTAGAGCAGAAATAAATGAAATAGAAAATAGAAAAACAACAGAAATTTTAAACATTGGTCCTTTGAAAAGATCAATAAAATTGACAAACTTTTAGCCTGAATGACCAGAAAAAAAAAAGAGAAGATTAAAATTACTAAAAGAAAGAAAGATGGAACATTACTACCAACCATACATAAATGGAAAAAAATTATAATACTATGAACAAAGTATGTCCACAAATTAGATTACCTAGATGAAATGGACAAATTCCTAGAAACACATAACCTACTGACTTAAAAGGAAACAAAATCTGAACAGACCTATAACAAGTAAATAAACTGAATTTAGTAATAAAAAAAATCTTCCCATGGCCAGGCACAGTGGCTCAGGCCTGTAATCCCAGCATTTTGGGAGGCCAAGGTGGGTGGATCACCTGAGGTCGGGAGTTCAAGCCCAGCCTGGCTAACATGGCAAAACCCCATCTCTACTAAAAATACAAAAATGAGCCAGGCATGGTGGTGTGCACCTGTAATCCCAGCTACTCAGGAGGCTGAGACAGGAGAATCGCTTGAACCCAGAAAACAGAGGTTGCAGTGAGCCAAGATTGTGCCACTGTACTCCAGCCTGGGTGACAGAGCAAGACTCAGTCTCAAAAAAAGAAAGAAAGAAAGAAAGGTTAGGAGCAGATGATTCCACTGGTGAATTCTGTCAATCATGTATACATACCCAAAATCTCCTTAAGCTGATAAGCAACTTCAGCAAAGTCTCAGGATACAAAATCAATGTGCAAAAATCACAAGCATTCTTATACACCAATAACAGACAAACAGCGAGCCAAATCATGAGTGAACTCCCATTCACAATTGCTTCAAAGAGAATAAAATACCTAGGAATCCAACTTACAAGGGATGTGAAGGACCTCTTCAAGGAGAACTACAAACCACTGCTCAAGGAAATAAAAGAGGATACAAACAAATGGAAGAACATTCCATGCTCGTGGGTAGGTAGAATCAATATCATGAAAATGGCCATACTGCCCAAGGTAATTTATAGATTCAATGCCATCCCCATCAAGCTACCAATGACTTTCTTCACAGAATTGGAAAAAACTACTTTAAAGTTCATATGGAACCAAAAAAGAGCCCGCATCGCCAAGTCAATCCTAAGCCAAAAGAACAAAGCTGGAGGCATCATGCTACCTGACTTCAAACTATACTACAAGGCTACAGTAACCAAAACAGCATGGTACTGGTACCAAAACAGAGATATAGGCCAATGGAACAGAACAGAGTCCTCAGAAATAATGCTGCATATCTACAACTATCTGATCTTTGACAAACCTGAGAAAAACAAGCAATGGGGAAAGGATTCCCTATTTAATAAATGGTGCTGGGAAAACTGGCTAGCCATGTGTAGAAAGCTGAAACTGGATCCCTTCCTTACACCTTATACAAAAATTAATTCAAGACGGATTAAAGACTTAAATGTTAGACCTAAAACCATAAAAACCCTAGAAGAAAACCTAGGCAATATCATTCAGGACATAGGCATGGGCAAGGACTTCATGTCTAAAACACCAAAAGCAATGGCAACAAAAGCCAAAATTGACAAATGGGATCAAATTAAACCAAAGAGCTTCTGCACAGCAAAAGAAACTACCATCAGAGTGAACAGGCAACCTACAGAATGGGAGAAAATTTTTGCAATCTACTCATCTAAGGGCTAATATCCAGAATCTACAAAGAACTCAAACAAATTTACAAGAAAAAAACAACCCCATCAACAAGTGGGCAAAGGATATGAACAGACACTTCTCAAAAGAAGACATTTATGCAGCCCAAAGACACATGAAAAAATGCTCATCATCACTGGCCATCAGAGAAATGCAAATCAAAACTACAATGAGATACCATCTCACACCTGTTAGAAAGGCAATCATTAAAAAGTCAGGAAACAACAGGTGCTGGAGAGGATGTGGAGAAATAGGAACACTTTTACACTGTTGGTGGGACTGTAAGCTAGTTCAACCATTGTGGAAGTCAGTGTGGCGAACCCTCGGGGATCTAGAACTAGAAATACCATTTGACCTAGCCATCCCATTACTGGGTATATACCCAAAGGATTATAAATCATGATGTTATAAAGACACATGCACACATGTGTTTATTACGGCACTATTCACAATAGCAAAGACTTGGAACCAACCCAAATGTCCAACAATGATAGACTGGATTAAGAAAATGTGGCACATATACACCATGGAAAACTATGCAGCCATAAAAAATGATTTCATGTCCTTTGTAGGGACATGGATGAAGCTGGAAACCATCATTCTCAGCAAACTGTCACAAGGACAAAAAACCAAACACCGCATGTTCTCACTCATAGGTGGGAATTGAACAATGAGAACACATGGACACAGGAAGGAAAACATCACACACCGGGGCCTGTTGTGGGGTGGGGTGAGGGGGGAGGGATAGCATTAGGAGATATACCTAATGTAAACGACGAGTTAATGGGTGCAGCACACCAACATGGCACATGTATACATATGTAACAAACCTGCACGTTGTGCACATGTACCCTAAAACTTAAAGTATAATAAAAAATAAAAAACAAAAATCATGTATACATAAATTAAAGTAATTCTTCACAAACTTTTCCAAAAAGTAGAATAAAATGAAATACTCCTCAACTTATTCTATAAAGCCAGTATTACCCTGATTTACCCTGATACCAAAGCTAAACAAAGAAATCACAAGAAAACTAGAAAACAATCTCTCTTATATAGATGTCAAAATCCTCAACAAAATACTAAAAAGCCAAATCTAACAACATATTTTTTTAAAAAAAGGATTATATACCATGAACAAGTAGAATTTATCCCAGGATGTTAGGTTGAGTCAACACATGTAACTCAATCAATGTAATAATCTATATTAATATAATAGAAGACAAGCACATGATTATCTCAAAAGATGCAGAAAAAGCACTTGACAAAATCCAACACTTTTCATAGTAAAATCTCTCAACATCACTATTCCCTCCTAGGAATGGAAGGAGACTTCTTCAACCTGACGAAGGGCACCTATGAAAAAGCCACAGCTAACATCAAACTTAATGGTGAAAGACTGAAGACCTTACCCTAACATCAGGAACACTGGAAAAAATTCTCACACTTGCCACCTGTATTCAACATTGTAGTAAATGTTCTGGCCACAGCAATTAGCAATAATAATAAAGTCATCCAGACTGCAAAGAAAAAAGAAAAACTCTTCACAGATAATATAATCACACATATTTTAAAAATCTGAAGAAATACATGCACACATAATACTAGTACTAATAAAGAGGGTTCAGCAAGCTTGCAGGATAAAAAATATACAAAACCCAGTTGTATTTCTATACACTAGAAATGCACACACAACCTAAAAATAAATTTAAAAAACAATTTGATTTACAATGTCAGCAAAAAAATAAAATACTTACAAAAACATTTAACAAAAGAAGTATAAGACTTATACAATAAAAACATAAAGCATTGTTGAAAGACATTTTAAAAAACCTAAATAAGTGGAAGGATATTCTGTGTTCATGTACTGGAAGACTTACTTTTATTGTTATTAAGAGTTTAATACTTGCCAAATTGATCTACAGATTTAACATAATCCGTGTCAAAATCCCAGCTGGCTTTTTTGGAGAAATTGATAAGCTGATGTTAAAATTTATATGAGTATGTAGGGAATTCAAAATAGCTAAAACCAATCTTCATAAAGAACAAAGCTAGAGAACCTACCAATTTTAAAACTTAGTACAAAGTGACAGTAACCAAGGTACTGTAGTACTGTCATAAAAACAGACATGTACATCACTGGAATACATTTGAGAATCTAGAAATAAACCCTTACACTTATGGTCAACTGATTTTTGACAAAGGGGCCAAGACAATTCAATGAGGAAAGAACAGTCTTTTCAACAAATGGTGTTGGGGCACTTGGGCATCCACATGCAAAATAATGAAGTTGAACCACTACTTCACATCGTACGTAATAATTAAAATAAATAAAAAACCTAAATGTAAGAGCCAAAACTATATAACTCTTAGAAGAAAACACAGGTGTAAATCTTTATGACCTTAGATTAGACAATAGTTTTTTCGATATGACGCCAAAAGTAAATGCAACCAAAGGAAAAAAGAAATTGGACTACATCAAAATTATGAACTTTCGTGTTTCTAAGAACACTAAAAAGAAAGTGAAAGGACAATGGGTCTAATATCCAGAATATATGAAGAATTCTCACAACAACATAAAGAAAAATAATCTAATTTTAAAATCAGCAAAGAATGTGTACAGACATTTCCACCAGAAAGACAGACAAATGCCAATAAGCACATGAAAAGATGCTCAACATCATTAGCCATCAGGAAAATGTAAATAAAAAGCACAATGGAATACCACTTCATACTTAGTAAGATGGTGATAATAAAAATTAATAACAAATGGTGGTGAAGATACAGAGAAATTGGAACTCTATACTGCTAGTAGGAAAATTAAATGGTACAAAGTTAACCCTTTTTTCCTCCTCACCCCCACATCCAGCCACCAATATTACAAATTTTACCTGCAAAATATTTCTTTAATCTGCATTTGACTCTCCAAACTGAATTAGACCTCTCATCAGGATTAGAGTAAGAACCTCTTAACTGGTCTCCTTCCCTCCAAGGGTGTCTTTCTCAAATCCATTCTCCAGATAGCTGCTGCCATGACCTTTCAAAACATTCTCCTGCTCTACACGTTTCCAGGCTCCCCATGACCTATAGGATGAAATCAAGATCCAACAGAAGTCCCAAGGCCCTCCATGGCGAAGAGGACTTCTCCCATCATCCTGACTCCTCCTTCGTGCTGGCTCTTCTGTCAATGAGATTTTGCATTTTCATTTGAGAAACTTGGATCTGCTTGTAGTTCCCCTGTTGTCAACCGTTAATCACTCACTCACTGTCTCTCTCTCTCTCTCTCTCTCTCTCTCTCTCTCACACACACACACACACACACACACACACACACACACTGTTCTCTATGTCACAGAGGTGAAAACAAGCATCCATCTCCTTCCCTCTCCATAATTTCCTGGATCATTCCTACTCAGCCCTTAAGCAGCCTCTCAAGGTTTACCACCTCGAGGTGGAAGGCCTTCCCAGGTCCTCTACAAATGAACCACTCACAGGTGAATTAAGGGTTTCCACTTTATGCTTTTTAATAGCTCATACATATATCATTCATCATCATGCTTACTATATTGTATTTTAACACTCTGTGTCTCATCTGCTAGTTTGAAAGTTCTGTAAGGGAAGAACTCATGTCATTCATCAAAACTTCCTGCGCAGGGCCCGACATAAGAAGGCACCCAATAAGTGTCATGCAGACTGAAGGAATAAACCATAACACTTATGTGGCTATAGGTATCCTCAAATTGACTAAACAAAGAAACAAGAATTCACTGGTTAAGGCAATGAGCAAGTCCAAATAAGCCTCAGGCCCAGCTAGGTCCAGGTGCTTAAAAATACCACGAGGAAGCATTTTATAGTTATTCTGAGGCTCAGAAAAATATTTTTTTCTTAGTATTTGAGCAAGCACTCTAAACCTGGGCCAAACTGACTTGCCCTTCCCAGAACCGATCACCAAAGCTCTGGTTAAAAGGCCTGGGTTGCGTGCCCACTTCTGAAGCTAAGGGCTAAGGTCAGTCTCACTCAAATATCACATAGGCAAGAATAGGGGAAGGGTGGTTAACAGAAGGAAAATAGAGATTTTCTTACCAGAAGAAGGTAGATGAAGGCTAGACAGGCAGCAACAATAGTTGTCTACCACAGAATCTCTTAGGT
This sequence comes from Homo sapiens, assembly GCF_000001405.40. NCBI lineage: Eukaryota > Metazoa > Chordata > Mammalia > Primates > Hominidae > Homo > Homo sapiens. Next base: position 30,005,748 of record NC_000002.12, read on the forward strand.
TTTCTATATTGTATTTGTGCTCCTCTCGTTCTCTCGATCAGCTTATCAGCATTTTAGGACAACGCTTGCTCTTTCTTTGTAGTTACCTACAGATTCCTGCAAGCTGTTCTAAGCACGGTGGCCACCCACTGCAAGTAGTTGAGTAGCTGATGGGCAAGTCATCATTGACAGCCCCAGCAGCACCTGGCCAGGTCTCTCAGCCCATGTGCAAGGCAAGCATCACCGAGCAGGTGTAGGCTCTGGCTGGGAAATGTTGTTTTGCGGAGAGCTGAGTATTTATTTGGATTGATGACTCTCAGCGTTGCCAGATTTCAAATTTAAATCAAATATTTATTGGTGATAGGTGGCAAGGAAAACAGTATACTTTGGGGGTAATTATTAATGTAGGCCAGCTCATCTGTTATTGGAACAGCTGAATTTCAATCCCATAAACTGGGAACCCAAGCAAGAATAATCATGTTAATATGTCCTCACACTTACATAGTGCATTAGCATTTACAACATTTTCCCATATGTTATTCGTTTTGGCTTTAAATCACACACCTGTGCAAGGTGAGATTTGTAATTCCCATTTTACAGATGAGAAATACGAGACTCCAGGTGTCAAGTGGTTTCTCTACAAGTGGCAAAGCAGGGCTAGAACCCACATTGCTGATATCCAAGGCATGACTGTTGCCAAGATATCACTCACCCCCTTTCCTTACAGCACACCTAAATCACAGAAATACTTCATGCACTTCACATGTATGTCTGACCTTCGTGAACTCTTCAGTGTCAACTTAGTTGAGGTCTTTTCAAGTTAGCATGCCATTTCATGAACATAATCTTATTTTATTTTGAAGACCACCTATGAGATAGATATTACCCCTATTTTTTTTTTTTTTTGACAAGTGCTTCCAGATCAAGAATGTCCCTGTGAGTTGCCTGGAGAGGGGAGTCAAAGGTAGAAGGCATTGCCTCAAAAATATTTTACTCTGTCCAGCTTCCCTTGAGAGATCCAGACAACTGCCAAGCCCTGGTTGTTTCTGATTATTATTCAAATGCACAGCATGGTTGTCACAGAAACTTTTCTCCTCAAGCACCCTCTCAAATGAGTCTGTCCTTTCATCTCAGATTAAGTCTTCAGCCATCATTCTCACAGATAATTGTCTATTTGTGCAAGCCAAATTTGATTGTTTTCAATTTTCATCAGTCTTGCAGAAGAGGGGCCCCCACTTCATGGGGCGTCTGACCTTCATGAGCTCATCAGTGTGAGCTGACAGTGCTTTTTCTCTAACCACTTAAGTTCCTTTTACATGTCAAGTGTCTCATTTGAAGATCTGTTTAACCTGACCAAGAATTTGACATGAGTTCCTTGCTCTTGATAATGGCCAATCATTTCTCACCATCATGAGATCAAGCATGTCTCTTTACTATAGCTGTAGGACCAGGCAAACTGGCTGACCTTGGATGTGTTTGGATGGGAAGATCAGCTGTCTTGCTGCAGACTCTGCCAAGACCATTCCTGAGTCAACATATAGCAAAGGAGGTCATTCTCCTTACTTCATATCACTTGTCACGTTAGCTTTTATATCACAGAATGCTAGGGTTGAAAAGGCCCAATCATAATCCAACATCTCCCACCTTTAGATGAAGAAACAAACTCCTCTTAAAGTAAGTGATGAAAAATTTGGCTGAAGGGTAAAAACACAACCTCCAAGATTATAGACAGGTTTCTTCTGTCTTAAATTCTCTTGGAAAATAATATTTTGGAACATCTTTATCTACTTTGTGCTGTGGGTTCCCTGTCTCACACATGCTCACGCTACTTTACTAGTTCCACAACGTGTTTTAGTGATGTTCTCTATCATTTCAATGTGGTAGAAAGCTCTAGGCCTGGACTCATGAGACCTGGGTTCTAGTCCTGGCTCAGCCACACCTGACCTTGTGGAAGCCAGAAAGCCTGTATCAGCCTCCACTTCCAAGCTTCACGGAATTGTTGTGATATCAGATGAGGTCGTGCGTGCAGGTGGAAGACCCCACTGCAGGTGGAAGACTCCATCACCACCAACACCACTTCTGGAGGATTGCTGTAGGCTGGGGAGGAAGGCACTGTGCCTGAGAATATGTTTGTTCCAAAGGTAAAGAAAAGTGATTTTTTTTTTAAAGTCCAGGGTCTTTGATCATCTTTCTCTTTAGAGCAATCGACTTGGGACATAGTGGAAGATGAATAAAGAGCAGCTGGCTCTGTGCTGTCTCCACTTCCACTTCTGTATGTATTTGTGGAGTGTGAGTGTGTGTGTGTGTGTGTGTGTGTGTGTGTGCAGGCCGGAAGACCAGGAATGAGAAAGGGTTCTACTTTCACACAGACACAGGGATCCCCAAGGGACATAAGACCTTACAGTACACACGCCCACCCTGGACTATCCCTCAAATTCCTCCTCTCCCTCCCTTGATGCCGTTAGGGATGAAGTCCTGGGTATGAGGCATAATAAAAAGAGTGGATTCTGGGCTAAGAGCAACCCTGTGATATAGGGTATGAGTTTTAATTTTTAAAAAGGCAGAGGTTTTGTGTGTTGGACAACTGAAGAAGTTTCTCAGAAAGGGAATGAAGAAGACAACTCAAGCACAGGAAGTGAGGCTAGGTATCAGGGTGGACCTGAGAGGGCGCTGTGAGGGGAGTTTTATTATTTGGCTGATTTTTTCCTTGGACTATGGAAACAGCCAAAGCATGCATTGGTTCACCCTTTTTCCTCCAACTCTGTAATTACCTTCAGCTATGGCTCTGAGCCATTCAGCCCTGTATGGAAGTGTGTTGGGGAGAAGAGGGACAGGGCAATGTAGGCAAGTGTGGCCTTCCCCAAGCCACTCCTGTACTGGAGCTGACCAGGCTGTCACGTTCTTACTCCATGTGGGATGGCAGCCCTCAAGCTCCAGGTGGTGACAGCAGGAAAGTGAGGTGGACCCATAGTGGAGCTGGGATGGAGAGGACACTCCCACCACAAGGAAGTCAATGTCTATGGGCAGTTCAGTGGATATTAGTCAAACCCCCTTTTTCTCCAAAGACACTAGGAAGGTGACCCTTGAAAGAGTAGAAGCTGACACAGGTGACAGGTATGTGACAGTGTTCTCTGTGAGCTACTAAGCCCAGGGTAGGTAAGAAAGATGATCAGAGTTGCAGAGCTTTCCCTTCTGTGGCTCCCACTCCCCCCAGGTCTCCTGTGGTGCAATCTAATTATCAGGGAGCAGCCACCTGCTCCCAGGCCCCAGCCTCAGCCCCTGCTCCCAGTTGTTCCCAAAGATGCTCTCCTGGTCCCCAGCAAGATGGAGGAAACTTGGCCTGATGTGACCACACAGATTACATCCCACATTTTCCCCTTCCAGTCACTGGACATGGCCAGAGGACCTCCTGGCACTCTGCTCTTCTTATCTCAGGTGACCTTGCAGTTTCCCACTGCCTGGAACAACAGCACACATCAATTATAATAAAATAGCTCCTATTCCTGGGCTCCCCAGTGCCACCAGGCCCACTTGGGAGCAATAAACCATGTGCTCATCTGAGACAATCACATACTCCCTGTTGATTAACCTCTTCAAAACCCAAGCCTCTATTCCCCAGAGTAGAAAGCCTCCCCTCAGACTGCAAGCATGAGCCTCTCTAGCCCTTCTCTGTGCTCCCATCTTCAGCTTGGCAGACATAAATAAGGCCACCACCATGCCAAGAAGCCATCCTGGGTCAATGTCCCCTCTTCCAGAGGCACCATGGGATTTAGCTGAGGTCATGGTGCTGGGGCAAGGAGGGCTCCCACCCTTGTACTGTAGTAGGTGACCCACATCATCATCTTTCACAGGGAGTCAACAGATGATGTCTGAAGTTCCTAAGTCAAGAAATGGCTGTACTCACATTATTTAGTATGGAAATAAATAAACTCCAGCAGAACTAAAACCAGAGACAGCCATGAGTGGTCGTCTTCAAAGAGTAATACTTAGAAGAAGAGGTGAATAGCAGGGCACTGTTTTTCATTTTCAGCACTTGTGTATCATGCCAGTTTTTAACCATGTGTACTAATTTCATTTTTTAGGCCAATTTAAACAAGAAGAAAAGTAAATAAAGGAAATGCAAATAAGTCAAAATACAATAAAACAAAATAACGAAAATATAATCGTGTGAATCGTAGATTCAGAGAATCGATAGAGCTGAAAAAAATCTAAAGAAACTCTTTTCCAGTTCGACCTCCAGTACTTATTTACATATGGGAAAAGCAGGCTCAGAAGAAGAGACATTACATGTCCAAGGTCTCGCAGGGGATTGTTTCTTATAATAATCTTATTTCAACAACACGGTCCTGCAGCAGTGGTTGAAGCCAGGGGGTAGAGCAGGGAAGAGCAAGGGCCAAAATCCTCCTCTTTCTGTGCCTTGAAGGTCACATGGGTCATAGTAGCAGAACTAATTGCCACTCTTGTAATGACAGTCACTGTAGTTGCAGGCTGTGAGGTGAGGGGTGGGATGTTGCTCTGGGGTGTCAGGGCTGTAGAAGCTGGGCTCATTGACTGATAAGGAGAGGAGTGCAAAGGGAAGCTTTGTATCTGGATTTCAAAGCCCATGGTTCAGCAGTACTCTGGTTCTGTGATCTTGGGGAAGCCACTTAATACATCTGGGCCTCATTCTCCTGATCCATAAAATAGGAATAAAGAAGAATACATAGGCCAGGTGTGGTGGCTCACGCCTGTAATTCCAGCACTTTGGGAGGCCGAGGCGGGCGGATCACAAGGCTAGGAGTTCAAGACCAGCCTGACTAACATGGTGAAACCCCATCTCTACTAAAAATACAAAAATTAGCCGGTCGTGATGGCACGTGCCTGTAATCCCAGCTACTCAGGAGGCTGAGGCAGGAGAATCTCTTGAACCCGGGAGTCGGAGGTTGCAGTGAGCCAAGATCATGCCATTGAACTCCATCCTGGGTGACAGAGCATTAAAAAAATAAAAAGGAAAGAAAGAAAAGAAAAAAAAGGATAATACCTGCCTCAGGCTGCATGCAGTGGCTTACATCTGTAATCCTAGAATCCCAGCACTTTGGGAGTCCGAGGCAGGAGGATCTCTTGAGTCCAGGAGTTCATGACCAGCCTAGGCAACATAGCGAGACCCTGTCTCTATTTCTTAAAAAAAAATATATATATATATATATATATTATAAAAATAAAGAAAGAATAATACCTATCTAATAGGAATGTTGCAAGAAATAAATAAGCTGACATATGTTAAGCACTTAGAACAGGACATGACATTTGGTAAGTGGTATGTAAGTGTTAACGTTCCCATCCTACCACCACAAATCCCTAAGATTTTATTTTAAGTACTACACATAAATAGAAGAATTTTGGTGGATCTGAGGCTGTGAAGCATATAAGGAGGGGGGAAGTAGATTAAAAGGCTCATAATAAGCTAAGATTCCACAGGATATCCTAACATCTTCTGGGAAAACAAGCAAGACCTACATGGGAAGCTGGTGGGCCACCATTCCAGGAAGCCAGTGGGACAGTTATGCTGGGCACTGCCTCAAGAGGCCGTCCTACCTGCCATGCCAAGAAACAACTGATGCCACCAGCTAAGAAGCTATCAACCATATGGGAAAAAATCAGCAGGCTCCAGGATCACAGGGAAGAATCTTGTCACAGAAAATGAATGCAGAGCCAAGAATTACTAAACGTTGGGTGAGGTGAACATAACTGATAACTCTCCAACAGAAGAAAGAACTTCCATGTGGGAAAAATATTAATACAAAATTTAAAGGGCTTTTAAAAATTAGAGTTATAATCCTCTTAAAAATGAATATAAAATTTTATCAATAAAGTAAGATTTTTAAATAGGTAGTTCCTTAAAAGAATCAATGAGAGATTTTGAAATTAAAAAGACAATTGATGTGTTTGCTAGCAGGGTAGGCATGGCTAAAGAGAAAATTAGAGAACTGGAAGATAAAACTATAAAAATTATCCAGAATTCAGCCGAGAGAGATAAAGAGCAGAAAATGTAAAATAAAAGTATGATAGATTAACTATGATAAGAAACAGAAGAGTATCTTGATACTTATTGTACAAGGTTCCTATGAATTATAAATCAATACATTAATTCTTATTAATTACAAGGGGGAAAATAATAAGGTAAACCTGAGAGACACTGCTGTGGTTTGGATATGATTTTTTTTGTCTCCACCAAATTCATGTTGAAATTTAATCCCTAGTGTGGCAGTGTTGGGAGGTGGGGCCTAGTGGAAGGTGTTTGTGTCATGGGGGCAGATCCCTCATGAATAGATTAATGCCCTTCTGCAGAGGTGAGTGAGTTTTCACTCTATTAGCTCCCAAGAGAGCTGGTTGTTAAAATGGACTTGGCACCTCCCAGGTCTCTCTCTTTCTTCCTATCTCACCATGAGACCTCTGCACACACAGGCTCCCCTTCACCTTCTGCCATGATTGGAAGCAGCCTGAGGCCTTCACTCGATGCCCAATCTTGCCTTTCCAGCTCTCAGACTCATGAGCCAAATAAATCTTTTTTCCTTGTAAATTACCAAGCCTCCAGTATTCCTTTATAGCAACACTAAATGGACCAAGACCGATACCATCCTAATCATGTGATCAAAGCTAGCATTACCAATACTAAGACAAATCAACACCATGTCTCCCCAGATATGCTGTACTAGGCACAACATCCCCTCTGTGTTATTCTCAAAAATGCTTAAACTTAATCTGTTGGATAAAAATCATCAGACAAATCTAAATTAAGAGATACTCTACAAAAAAAATTGACATTAGTTTTTTTAAAGTATCAAGGTCATGAAACGCAAAAAAAAAAAAATAGTCCAAGAAACCATCAGATTGAAGGAGTCAGGGAGACATGCCAGTTCCATGTGGAATCCTGGACTAGACTATGAACCGAAGAAAGGATATTAGTGGGAAAACTTATGAAATTAAAATAAGGTAGATTAGTTAATAGTATTGTATCACTAGTAATTTCCTGGTTTTGATAATTATACTATGGTGATGTAAGAGGTTAACATTTAGGGAAAATGTGATAAAGCATGTATTAAAAGTCTATGTACTCTTTTTGCAACTTTTTCGTATATCTAAAATTATATCAAAATAAAATTATCTTTAAAAAGTCACTTAGAACAGTGCCTAATACAGAATAGGCATTCAGTATATTGTAATTGCTGCTAAGATTATTGAAAGTAACATTTGAGAAGCATTTTCTACATTCATGGTTCCTAACCTGTGGGCTGATTTTCTGAAAAATCTACCTGGATACCAAATATTGTCTTTAAATAGAATATGTCTTTTACATTTATCTACTAATATTTGTCAAAAGAATATAAAGTGCATTTGTTGACTAATAAAATGCACACTCAATTAAAAATATTGCCATACTATTTTGTACTTCTCTCATCAACAGGTAGAGTATTTTTCCACACCTTTTGAATCTGGGCTGGCCCTGTTACTTGCTTTGACCAACAAATATATCGCAATGAAATGGAAACTACCAAAGATAAAGAGATCTTAAAGCCTGCCATAGAGACAAGCAGGGATGACACGAAAGGGATGACAATCAGTCTGACAGCTGATTTCCAAATAGCAGTGATCTAATCCTGAAGACAGTGGAATAATATCTTCATTAGGCTGAGAGAACATATCTGTTAACTTAGAAAATATCTTTGTAAACATCTTTCAAAAGCAGGGGAAAAACAGACATTTTCAGGCAAACAAAAGATGAGAATTTTACACAATAGACCATCACTAAGTGGAATTCAAATGGATATACTTCAGATGAAGGAAAGTGACCTGAGATATAAGAAGAAACAAAGAGCACAGATATGGTGAATTTGTAGGTAAACCTAAAAAAATACGATCTACATGCATATCATCTTGTGGGGTTTAAAATAAACCAAAGAAACTAAAATTCACAGCAAAAACAAATAATGCAGGGAAGAGGTGAGCACAGTTAACCTGTTTTAAGGTCCTTTTATTGTTCTAAATGAAGTTAAAAAAATTAACAGTCTTTCAGATTTGATAAGTTAGATATGCATGTGAGCATTTCTAGGAAAATTACTAAAATTAGAAAGGAAAAGTGAAATAAAAAATCGCATTTAACCAAAACAATGCAAGAAAGGAGAAGAAAAAACACAGCAAAGGCAAGACAAATAAAATGGTAGCAAGAAAGAAGATAAAATGCATCCAAATAAATTGGTGCTTACAACAGATGCAAATGGACTAAAATATTATAGCAAAACACAAAGATGTCAAACAATGAGATAAAGAACTGTTTTAGAACACTGCACATCAGTAGGAAAAAGTTGAACTTTTCAATAAATATTGCTGAGATACTTTACTATCTATATGGAGAAAAAATGAAATTGAACCCCAAACCTCCTACCACTCATAAGATTCAATTCTAGCTGGACTAAAGATATAATAGTGAAAGGCAAACTTTCCAAAGAAGAGACAAGAGTATATTTGTATGTTCTCAGGGTGAGTAAAGGATCCTTTAAAATGATACAATAAGCAAAATAATAAAAGATAAAATTTATAAATCAACTACATAAAATTGAGTAACTTTTGATCATCAAAACACACTATAAAGGAAGTAAAAATACAAGCCTCAAATTTATAACACATAACTGGTGAGAGATTAAGATGCCACATAACTGGTGAGAGATTAAGATGCCAAACATATATTTTTAAACTTCTAAGCAGCAGTAAGACAAACGAACTAGGCAAAAAAGAGAAAATTATTGAATAGACAACCACACAGAAGGAACCAGATTGCAACAGCCAATAAACAAATAAAAATATGGTCTACTACACTAGTAATCAGGGAAATGAAAAATAAACCATAACAAGATACTATTTTATAATCACCATGGTGGCAAACATTGTAAAATCTCTTTATTCCAAGTGCAATGAAGAAGTGCAGCAAACAAAACACTTACACGGTGCTAGTAGAGGTGTCAACTATTACAATCACCCTAGAAGACAACTTGGGATTCTACAGTTGAAGATGCTCATGCCCTGTGAGTACATGCATGTGGACCATGGAGCATGTGCAGGGATGTTCACAGAAGCACCATTTGAGATGGTAAAAAATGCCCATCAGCCATTAAACAGATAAATAAGTTATGTTACATCCACACAACAATAATAGCTAATATTTATATAGTGCTTATAACATGCCAGAAAGTGTTCTAAATACTACTACTTTTTTTTTTTTTTTTTTTTTGAAATGGATTCTCGCTCAGTCGCCCAGGCTGGAGTGCGGTGGCATAATCTCGGCTCACTGCAACCTCTGCCTCCCGGGTTCAAGCAATTCTCTGCCTCAGTCCCCCGAGTAGCTGGGATTACAGGGGCCCGCCACCATGCCCGGCAAATTTTTACAGTTTTAGTAGAGACGGGGTTTCACCATTTTGGCCAGGCTGGTCTTGAACTCCTGACCTCGTCGTGATCTACCTGCCTCTGCCTCCCAAAGTTCTGGGATTACAGACGTGAGCCACTGCACCCAGCCAATACTAATACATTTTTAACTCATTCACCACACTCTTGTGAGGTAGGTATTATTATGCTCATGTTACAGAGAAGGAAAGTGAGTCATAAATAGGTTAAAAAATTTGTCTACTGTCACACAGTTAATAAATGGTGGACCCAAGAATTTGAACAGGGATATTATAAGTCTAAGGGCTGTGTTCTTAGCCACCTATCTATCCCATCTCCCAAGATAATTAATCATGGAATACAATACAGCAGTAAGGCTACATACAAAAATGCAGACAATCTCTGAAACATAATGTTGAATGGGGGAGGGGAGAAATTTTTTGTAGAAGAATGTATACTGTGCTATTTATTTACATAAAGTTAAAAAACTTGTAAGACTAAATAAAGTTAAGGATATAAACATGATAAAGAATGATTCCATTTATTCAGATATTGGAAAAGAAACCATAGATACTTTTATATCACTTGCAGATAAAATCACAATTTATAGTGTAAGGGGGCCAGGCACGGTGGCTCACGCCTGTAATCCCAGCATTTTGGGAGGCTGAGGCGGGTGGATCCCTTGAGGTCGGGAGTTCCAGACCAGCCTGGCCAACATGGCAAAAACCCGTCTTTACTAAAAATACGATAACTAGCCAGGCATGGTGGCAAGCACTTGAAATCCCAGTTACTCAGGAGGCTGAGACAGAAGGATCGCTTGAACCCGGGAGGCAGAGGTTGCAGTGAGGTGAGATTGCACCACTGCACTCCAGCCTGGGTGACAGAGCAAGACTCTATCTCAAAAAAAAAAAAAAAAAAAAGGTGTAAGGGGCAAAATGATACAGGAAAGGAAGGGAGTGACAAACACAAATTTGTGGGGAATGCTTGGGTGGGTGAAGAAGGAAAAAGCAAGCAGACTCGGCCGGGCACAGTGGCTCATGCCTGTAATCCCAACACTTTGGGAGGCCGAGGCGGGTGGATCGCGAGGTCAGGAGATCGAGACCATCCTGGCTAACATGGTGAAATCCAGTCTCTACTAAAAACACAAAAAAACTAGCCGGGCGTGGTGGCGGGAGTCTGTAGTCCCAGCTACTCGGGAGGCTGAGGCAGGAGAATGGCGTGAACCCGGGAGGCGGAGCTTGCAGTGAGCCGAGATCGCGCCACTGCACTCCAGCCTGGGCGACAGAGCAAGACTCCATCTCAAAAACAAAACAAAACAAAAAAAACAGCAAGGAGATTCACAGAGAAGACTTCAAAGATAACATAATGTTCTTTCCTTACACAGGATTTTGGGTACTCATGTGCTCATTGTATTTTTATTTTGTATCTTATACATATTTCATGCATATTATTTTGTATATACTCGATATTTAATAAAACATTTTTATATACTGTTTATAAAGAAGAAATATTAAGGAAAGGAATCAGAAAAATATGTTGTTAAATCTAAATAAGTATTGATTGTAACAAAAAAAGGTTTTTAATAAAAATCTGAATTCAAAATTTGAATCAATAGTAACATGGGGTTTGGATAATGGAAAGACAAATAAAGGCATGCATTTTTGTTATATGCAGAGGAAGAATATAAATACTAATTAACTCTAGACTTCATGAGAAAAATATTCAGTTACGTATTATGTCAAAATGGAAGAAAGACCTGAAAAAATCAAGATAAACTTTGTAACTTTCTAATCCGTAGAGGAAAATGTTCAAACAAATTTTTTTAAATGGCAGTATGTGCATGTAATTAAAAGCTATGGAGGCAAATACCCAGAAGAAACAGCCAGAAGAACTGGAAATGACTGTCTCAGGGAAGTGAGAAGTGCGAGAAATAATGGCTAAAGAAAGCTATTTTTATTAGAAGTCTTATTTTTAACAAATGAACATGTATAACTTTAATAAAAAATAAAATAAAAATATAATTATTATATGCATAACTGGTATAGATCAATTTTAAAAATAACTCCCAACTGCTGAAAAGGTCTTTGATACAATTCAACAGCTATTTATTACTCTTAAAACTTTTAGCAAATAAGTCAGAACTAAAGTCTTTAACTTGGTGCAATGACCTATTAATATCATGCAAGACAAAAATGTTTACTGCCGTTAATATTATTCAACATTGTATTAGAGGTCTAGCCAGTTTCCAAAACAAGAAACAATATAAGAGAAAGAAATAAAAGTTATTTAAAAATTGAAAAGGAAATAAAATTGTCATTACCTACAGAAGAGATTAAGAAAACTGAAGAAAAAACAACTGAAAACTATTGAAACTTATTTGAGAGTTCAGCAAAGTATCCAGATGCAAAATCACTACACAAAAATCAACAACTTTTCTATAAACTAGCATTTACCAACTAAATATATTTTAGAAAAAAAATCTTATTCATTATAGAAACAAAAGCTACAAGCTACCTACAAGTAAGTCTATCATAAATATGCAAAACCTTTTTTGAGAAAAAACACACCATTTTATAGAAAGACATTTTTTAAAAGATGTTAATAAAGGAAGATTGATCATGTTCTTGGATGGAGAGATTCTATACTGTACTTCATTTCTCTCCAAAACAATCTATATATTCAATGCAATCTCAATCAAAATCTCAATGTGACCATATCAATCAGGATCCCAGCTGGAAACCAACAGCATATTCCAATTAGGAGGAATCAAGGAGGTTTTGATACAGAGACTATCTACACATGAAATAGACAGGGTCTAGGAAATCACAAGGAAAAGTGCCGTATCCCAGAGCAAGCGTCACTGGGGATATTATCACCCCAAGGCATACAGGGGCAGAGGGAGAGCAGTTACCAGAATCCAGAAGGAAGGAGCTGGGACAAGAGGGCCACCTTGAGAAGACATGTGATCTTCAATAGAGGAACACAGCCAACCCCAAGCAGCCCTGCAGGCAGAGAGCCAGGAGAATAAATATCCCGCTCTCATCCTTTTCACTCCCTCATCTTCTATTGGAGATCCTCCATTGGCTCAGCTGGGTGCTGGAGAATTGTCTGTATATTCCATAGTGCTTCCCAGGGCAGTGGGCAGGGTGAAATGTAGAGAATGGATCCAGAGAAGTAAATCGAACCTATCTGATGTTATAAAAGATAGGCCAATAGAATGCACAGAGTCAGAAACAGACCTTGATGTATAGGGAATTTGATAAATGATAGAGGTGGCATTTCAAATAAGAAGAGGAAAGATGGATTACTCAAAAGATGGTATTAGAGCAGATAGGCTCTCTATTTGGGGAAGGAAAATAGATACCTGTCTCATATGAATAAAGAAAATTTCTAGACGGAAAAAATACCTAAATGTAAAACCAAGCTACTTTAAAAAGTGAAAGAAAATATAATATTTTTATATCCTTGCGGTAAGGATGTTAAAATCAAAAATCATAAAGATAGATAAATCTGACTTTTTCAAGTGCTATGTACTAAAATATAGCATCAAATAATTTCAAGAAACTGAGAGAAAATATTTGCAAATACTATCAAAGAACTTGTACTCAGAATATGCAGAGAACTCCTAGAAATCTATAAGAAAAGGACAAACTATCCAATAGAAAATAGTCTGCAGATATGAAAAAACAGTTCTTGGAAGGTTTACAAATGAGGAATAAATAAATAGAAAATGCTCAGTCTCACTAAAAGGTAGGAAAATATTAAATGATGCTATTTTTCACTTATCAGATGATCCAAATATTAAGTCTTATAACATCACATGATGACAGAACATGGGGAAACAAGTACTCTTTTGCACTGTTTGCGGGAGTAAAAGTGGAAGTGTTTCTTTAGAATACAAACCAAACATTTAAAAAGTGGTTATTTCTGGGGATCAAGTTAGAGGATTAGCATTGGTGATGTTGGTTGGGGGACCTTAGGTGCTATCTGTACCATGTTCACTATTTTTAGAAAATACAAGATTAAAGTATGTTACTGTGTTATTTGCATCACGCAGCGATGATATTTCCTCATGATTCTGTCCTTGGCCCTTTGACCATTTCACTCCATACTATCCCCAAAAATATGTCATCCACTCCTACAGAATTATTGGCCACCCACATGCTGATGTCTCCCAAATCTGTATTTTCAGCTCAACAGGTGTTCGAGTAACTCAAAGATGTTGGGGCCAAGGTCTCTGAAATTCCCTTGGCTTTTCCCCTATGGTTCTGATAAGGTTGTTAGTCCAACAATCCTCATTCCAGGAAACAGATAGGGGAAGAGTCCAGAGGAAATGATGGTGCCTACACAGGTTAAGCATCCCTAATCAGAAAATCTGAAGTCCAAAATGCTCCAAAACCCAAACATTTTTGAGCACCAACATGATACCACAAATGGAAAATTCCACACTTGACCTCATGTGACAGGTCGCAGTCGAAACCCAAGCGAACAACACATAGTTTGTCCAGTGTTCCCAAGGGAAAAAAGACTGTCCCAACCCTTTCAGGTGCTATATACATCCTTCCTGCACATGCCCAGACTCCCTCCCAGCAAGCATGCCCACAAAGGGTAACAAAATGCAGGCTGGGTTCACCAATGGCGGGTTCTCCACAATGCCCCATGTGGGGCCAAGACCTACAGGCATTACTTGCTGTGGTTGTTTATCTATTCTCTACCCTGTGGTGTAAAGGTGTTGTTGAAGATGTCATAAAGGCCTGCAGATGCTCCTATGGATAACAATATAAGAAAAAGAAATAATAAGAAAAAGAGGAAGCATTTATGATTGTCTATAGCATAGAAAGTCAAGCTATAGGAGAAACTGGACAGCAATGTCAGTGTGAAATGTCTTACAGCAGAGTATGGTGTTGGAATAACCACCATATACAGTTTCTTCCCACCTAAAAACATAAAATAGATTGTGGGGTCACCTTTTAATCCAAACACAACATTGTAGGTGGAGACGGAAAGCCTGCCATTGTTTGTGGTTGCTGTTGTGTAACATGACGCAGGTATCCTGGTGATGCTACTGTGCTGCTTAGTTACCCTGACACGTTATTTTTTCACTGTATTAATGGTATGTCACATTTCTTACTGTTAAGTACTTATGTGTGAATAAATATAAGAAAGTGATTGCTAATCAACAGCATGTAAATTCAGAGTCAGGAATAATGGTGAGGCCAAACAACCATAGATTATCCCCATGATTGGCTGAGAGAGTGACACCTTTGCTTTCTGATGGTTCCATGTACACAAACTTTGTTTCAGGCACAAATAATTTAAGATATTGTACAAAATTACCTTTGGGCTATGTGTAGAAGACATATATGAAACATCAATGAATTTCAGGTTTAGGCTTGGGTCCCATCCCCAAGATGTGGGATATATTACGTATATGCAAATATTCCAAAATCCAAACACTTCTGGTACCAAGCATTTCAGGATAAGGGATACTCACCCTGTAATATAAAAACAAAACTTTCCCTGAAGTCCCCAGCAGACTTCAACTTGTTTCTCCTTGATCAAAAGAGTGTGAAATGGCTGCCCTTCGCTGCAAAGGAAGTTGGACCAAGTAGTTTATAGCTGGGCACATTGCTGTTGTTAGAATGTCACAGCATTCCTCAAGCACCTGCAACTGCAAATGGCCAAGCCATCGTTTTCACTTGCCTCCCTTCGACTACTCCTATGCTGTGCCCTCCATCAAGGCCACCACAGCTCCCAAGACAGATCTGTCATTGACTCCCTCCCCTCAAATCTCACATAGGAGGCTCCAAGTCTTTCCAAACAACTCTCACATCCTATCCTTTCCCTGGACTCCTGTCAGCCTTCTTCATCATCTTCTTGCCCTCTCACTCAATCTTTGCAGTCAGCCAGACTCATCTTTCTTTCTTTTTTTTTTTTTTTGAGACAGAGTTTCACTCTTTTTGCCCAGGCTGGAGTGCAATGGCACGATCTCGGCTCACTGCAACCTCCGCCTCCCAGGTTCAAGTGATTCTCCTGCCTCAGCCTCCCAAGTAGCTGGGATTACAGGCGCCTGCCACCATGCCCAGCTTTTTTTGTATTTTTAGTAGAGACGGGGTTTCACCATGTTGGCCAGGGTGGTCTCGATCTCTCAACCTTGTGATCCACCCACCTCGGCCTCCCAAAGTGCTGGGATTACAGGCGTGAGCCACCGCGCCCGGCCAGCCAGACTCATCTTTCTAAAGGCAAAAACAGATCGTGAAATGGTCTCAATTTGTTTTTAGGATAAAACGTAAATTTCTTATCGTGGCTTCTAAGGCCCTTCATGACCTAGCCCTTAGCTATCTCTCCAGCTGTACTTGTCACCACTCTTCCTTTCACATTCTTCGGCTATTCTGAACTTCTTTTCCATTCCTCTAGTAACCAACACTATCTCCTGAATCCAAGAACTTCTGCAGGTCTTTTTCCTCCACCTGGAATATTCCCCATCTACATCCACTGTGTCTAAATAGAATTTCTATCATCTTCACTGCTCAACTTAAGGATCCTGTTCTCCAAAGAGTCTTTCCTCACTCTCCTACAAGAAGATGATAATATTATTGCTGCAATAACAAACAACTGCAAAATCTCAGTGGCTTACATTTTGCTGCAGTAACAACTGCAAAGTCTCAGTGGCTTACAACAACCAACACTTAATTTTCTTCTCATTTCACATGTCAGTGGCTACAGGTCAGCTCTGCTCCCTGTGCCTTCTCATTTTAGGACCCAGGCTGAGGGCACAGTCCCAATCTATGGCATGACATTCTCACAGTGGAAACATGGGATGCCTCTTAAAACTTCTACTCAGACATGGTACACATTCCACCCTCTCACATTCTATTGACCAACACATGTCATACACGACCAAGGATATTATCTTGGGACTGGGAATGTATCCTCCTTCAACAGAGAGATGCCGTGAGTCACACAGCAATGGGAGAGGAGGTATAATCCTTTAACTCAGAAGGAAGAAGACAATAGTTGAGGCTAATCATATAATCTACTACCATGATAATGATAGTGACAACGTTATTTACTGAGTGTTTGCTGTCTGCCAGGCTTCATGCTAAATGCATTAATAAAATTTTTCCTTGTATCCTCACAAGACTACTGAGCACTATTGCTCCCCGCAGATGAGAAAATGGAGGGGAAGGGAGTTGGAGCAACTTGCTCATGGTCACATAATGAGTGGTAAAAGTGTGGATTTAAAACTAATTTCAATTCTGTCTGCTCAGAATTCATGCTTTACATCATTATACCATGCTGCTTCTGTGGCTCACTCCCAAGCTTAGTCTTTACCACCAATTGGCAATTTCCAGGGTAGCTTTGAAAGGAGACATGTGACCAGCATGGTGCCCAGATCGCAGTCAGTGTTTGTAGAGCAAACAAATAAGCTACTGCACCCCATCTCCTATTTTTCAGTTAGCTAATTTGCATTCAAAGTGTCCGTTTCTGTTTGGGTGTCACTTCCTTCCAGAAACTTCCTCTGACCACACAGGCTGGGTTAGGATGCCTCTTCTGTGTGTCTATGGGAAACTGTGCATAGAGCTATTCTTGTACTTATTATAACAAACCATAATGATCTTTGTGACTTGAGAGCTCGCTCATGGCTTCTCACGTCTGAACCCTTCTTTCTCTTCCTCTGCTCCTCTCCCTCCTAGCCCTGGTTGGTCCCCCTGAGCAGGGTTATTATGTCCTCCAGATGGGATCAGACCCACTCACTCATTCTCTAAGGCCTGCTGTGCACACCAGGCAATGCAGTCAGCTCCTTCACCACCAACATCCTGTCTTGCAGAGCCCACAGCCCAATGGAGGAGCAAGATGAGAGACAAGGAATCAGACTGGAAGCATAAAATAATTCCAGATTGCAAAGACAAATATAAATAGAAAAGAGTGATAAGGCATGGGATATCTACTTATCATAGGCTGGTCAGAGAAGTATGTTTTGAGACAGTGATGTTTAGGCTGAAACTGAATGATGAGAAGGAGCCAGCCATGGCACGACAGCAAAACAGCACACCTTCCAAGCAGAGGGAACAACACATACAGAGGTGGCATAAAGCTTGTGTTCTAGAAATCAAAAGAAAGCACATGGCTGGAGTGTATGAGCTGCTGGGGACATGGCTTAATAATGCTGGAGGGATAGATTAGAAATAGATCTCACCAGGCATGTGGGCCATGGCAAGGAGTTTAGATGTGAACCTCTGGAAGGTTCTCAGGAGGGGAGAGACCATCTGCTTTTCATTTTAAGAACATCTTTCTGGCCACTGTGTGGAATAAAGTAGTAGGACACCATTGTATTGTCCAGAAGATAGATGATGATGGTGGCCTAGGCTAAGGAGATGGAAACTAGTGGAGATGGATAAGCTGGTAGATTTTATACATCATGTGATGTGGCTTTAGGCATGCGTCATTTGAGGAGTCTGCAGACATCCACGTGAAGCTGTCAGGCAGATGGAGCTTAGAGGAGAGGTCCAGGCCGGAGGTCTAATTTGAGAGCCATCAGAACACTGATGGGGTTTTAAGCTAAGGGGATAGAGAAAAGAAGTGAACCCAGGACTGAGACCTGGGCATACCAATATTGAGAACTCAGGAAGGGAGACTGAGGCAGTGGATCACAAGGTCAGGAGATCAAGACCATCCTGGCTAACACGGTAAAACCCTGCCTCTACTAAAAATACAAAAAAAATTAGCCAGGCATGGTGGCAGGTGCCTGTAGTCCCAGCTACTTGGGAGGCGGAGCTTGCAGTGAGCCGAGATCAGGCCACTGCACTCCAGCCTGGGCGACAGAGCGAGACTCCGTCTCAAAAAAAAAAAAAAGAAGTCAAGAAGAGGAGGAGCTAGGGAAGGGGGTTAGGAAGGATGGCCAGAGAGGTGGGAAGAAAACCAGGAGACCCTGGAACCACAGATCTCAAGATCAAGAGGCTTTAAGTACAAATGACCGAAAAGCATTAATATTTCTGCCCTGTGATAAATGGATCAAAAAAGATTCTGAATAAATGTTAGTGTTCTTTCCGCCTCTACCCTTAGATATTTACATGTTGATGAAGGTAAACATTTACATCAAAAAAACTGTTCTCTATTTGTGAGATTTTAGGTGTTGGCCTACACAAAGGAACATTTAGGAGAAGGGAGAAGAGTAATGATGAAATTATATCCCATGTAAAGCTAGACCTACCTTATTTATAAGTTTTGTTGCTAGGAGAGTCTTTAGAAACCACCTAGTACCCTGACTTAGACAGTAAGGCCAGCCTTGTGGCATCAATAATGAGCAGCACCTGACAAAATCACTCAAGTGCTCATAATGGGCTACTCTATGGTTGCTCTGGGGGAGGGGCCAGCACTTGTGCTTTAACAAGCCCTCCAGGTAATTCCGATGCATGCTCCAGTTTGGGAACCCCTGTATCACAAGAGCCCCTGGCCTGTTACCCCATTCATAGCTAATTGGTAATGCAGTAAGCACCACGGAATAAATAAGTCAAACCTGGAGCTGATAATCAATATAGCTTGGCAAGTCTTGGTGGCCATCGGTGACAGGACAAAGGGAGACATGCTAGGGCTTATCCCACGGCCCCTGGGAAGCCCCTGGAGGTAGCGTAGCAGCTAGGGACCCCGACTTGGTTGTACCACAGCCTCTGGGTTGTAATCCCTTGTCAAAGATTTTCCGTTTCAGTAATGCTGTTATCCTGGGGATTATGGCCAAATGGAAATACATTAAATTGTAAATCACCTTCCCCACGTGGGCCAAGAGAAGCCCCAGAAGAATTCATTAAAGTGTAATGGTACCTGCACCTGTCATTACGCACGCCTCACTCAAATAAGGCCATAGAATACAGATTATTCACCTGGAATATGGCCACGCCATAATGAGCTCCTCCAGGGTTAGCTCCTAGTGGAGAGTAGGAAAGAGTGAGGCAGCTACTTAGAGCAAAATATTTCCAGGAGTAGCAAGGATGCTGGGCTGGAAGACTTGCCCTGTCTGTACTGCTAATTCACTGCTTGTCCATGGGCAAACTGCTTCTTGTCCTGGCTCCAGTTTCCTCAACTGTGAAATAAATTGTTTCCAGTGCTTCTCAAACTTTAGAGTGCATAAAAATCACCTCAAGAGGTAGCCAGCCATTCCAGTACTCCCAGGACTGAGGGAAGTCCTGTGATATTGGCGTTTCAGTGGTAAAACCATGACAGTGCCAGGCAAACCGAGCCTAGTTGGTCACCCTACTCCTGGAGGGCTTGTTGAATCAGAGTGCTATCCCCTCACCAGGGATTCTGATTCCATGAGGGAGAGGAGGAAGCAAAGGAGAGCAAGAGTTTGCTAACAAGCTCCCTGAATGCCAGGGATAGACTAGATGGTGGTTCCTAAATGCCTTTCTGCAGACAAGCTACATTAGACACACCTGAAGAGTTTGTTAAAAATACCGGTTCCTAGGTTCCAGCACCAGACATTTTTTTTTTTCTTTTTTGAGACGGAGTCTCGCTCTGTCGCCCAGGCTGGAGTGCAGTGGCGCCATCTCGGCTCACTGCAAGCTCCGCCCCCTGGAGTTCACGCCATTCTCCTGCCTCAGCCTCCAGAGTAGCTGGGACTACAGGCGCCTGCCACCACGCCCGGCTAATTTTTTTGTATTTTTAGTAGAGACGGGGTTTCACCGTGTTAGCAAGGATGGTCTCGATTTCCTGACCTCGTGATCCGCCCATCTCGGCCTCCCGAAGTTCTGCGATAACAGGCGTGAGCCACCGCGCCTGCCCTCCAGCACTAGACATTCTTACTCGATGGGGCTAGAGCTGAGTCTAGGAATCTACATTTCTAACAAGCTTCAGTGGTGATGCCCGGTGGGATTGAGAACCACTAAACTAGATCATGTGTACGGTTCCACGCAATTCAGGCATTCTATTACATTTTAAGTGTCTGTGTGCATGTCCATTTAGTAAAAGCTCCCCAAATTTGATGAACAACCCTCAATCATTTTATCTGGCTAGGATCAGTCATGCCTGGCATTAGGCATTTCCATTTTTGCCCTGAGCAAATGCAGCTGTTGGAGGAAGCGCACGGCCCTGGGAGACAGGCGTGCTCATTCAGAGTGGGCGAACACATGCGCTTACTCATGGATGCAGCTCTCATTTGCCCTCGGGGAGACGGAAGCCTGCGTCAAGGAGCTCCAGCAAGCTGCCCGGATATGAGCCTGTCACTGGGGCCTTGTTGCGGATGACTGTGCCCTGGCCTGCGTGTGTCATGCCAGGTGAAGTCAGAGAGGGGACAATAAGTGTCCCCTGTACCCAGGGTTTGGCAATCTTGCTGCGACCGTCTCATGACCCAGCAGACTACAAACAACTTGCAGTGAAATGTAATAAAAGAGTCCAGAGGGAGTGGAGCATGATGTACACCCCAGCCCTACAGAAGTGACAGCCCAGCCCCTGCGGCTGCATCAGGCTCTAAACAGAGCAGGTGCTGCCACCTCCTGGCCCCACTCAGGCTGAGCCACCGCAGTCTCCAGATGCATTTGGAATCTCAAATTGGGAATTCTGGAGATTCGGCCTCGAAAACACCCCAGAGACCATCTAACTCTTCCCACCCCATGTGCAGAAGAGGAAACTGAGCTCCCTCGATGTTGGCAGTTTTCCCCCACGTCCGACTGTGTGGCAGAGCCAGAGGCAAGCCCACCTGGTGCTCTTTTCCTAGTGCCTCACTGATCTCCTGCTGCTTTAAGCCAAACAGCTATGACCCAGTAATCCTGGCCAGAGCGGGAGCTGGGGTTTGTGGTGAGATCTGAGCAAGGAGAGAGGCTTGGCTGCTACTCGGTCCTGTGCCAGCTTGCCTCCTCCATGCCTAACCTTTGAAGATGAACCGAGACCCACCTTTGGAGATGAACAGAGACCCTGGTCAGGGAAGAACACTTGCCACTTCTCAGAGAGAAAGAAATGCTCCACGAATACATCACTTCAAATAGTAGTCTCCATAGCAGACAAGCATCACGTGGAAAAGAGACCCTACTTCCTTGAAACAAAACCACCTTGAGTGTGCAGATTCTTTGTTGCTGTTGTTCTTGAAAAGTCGTCTAGGACCATAGCAAACACCCCTGTAGCAGAAACCAGCAACCTGCAGAGATGGGGTGTGCCCAGCAGAGCTGTGTAGAATGTCAAGGCTTGGGGGTAAATGAAATTAAAAGAGGAAAAGGAGAAGGTAGAGAAGAGGAAAAAGCAAAAGAGGGAATAGAGAGAAGGAAGGACAGGATGGACAGATGAATGCACTGAGTACCAACCTGAGCCAAAGACTGCTAACCCTTGCTTCAATAAGTCTCTCATTCATCAAACATTTTTGGATGCCTACTCTGCCCAAGGCATCCTGCCTGTACCCAGAGTGGACACGACAAGTAATCTCTTACCCCTGCTTTCAAAGAATGTATCAGATAAAGCATGTGGAAAAGAAATCTTTCCAAGCCAGTGTGATATGAAGTAGAAGGTGATGGATGTTGTGAGAGGGAAGACTCCTGACTATGCAAATCCAGAGGAGGGGCAAAGAGGGGAGAAATAGAAGAAGGTGGTGTCATTTCATCAAGGCTCCAAAATCATGAGAAGAATGGGGGCATGCAAAGATGAAATGTAGGGCATTTCAAGCATAAAACAAAGAAAAGGCATGAACTGGACACGGAGGAAAAGTGGTTATGGAGAAGACAGCAGTTGCATCTGGCTAAAATGCAGGTGCAAGAAGGGACACACAGGCAATAGGTGGAAAAGGCAGGTGGGGCCAAGTCGAGGAGCAGGTGGTAAAGTGAACTTGAATGCCAAGTTAACTGTTCCCTCGGCATCAGGGAGTCCCTGCAGGCTCCAAAACAAGACAGGGGCATAATCAACTGTTCCGGATGCTGCAGGGCAAAAGAGCACTCAGTATGAACTCTGCAGCGTGAGGAATGGGGGAGCTTGAGTTAGGGGGAAGAGGGGTGCCCCATCCACCGGGATTTTATTTTGCAACTCAAAGTGCTGAACAACATATCCCAGTGTTCATATTGCTGGATTATATCTGCCAGTTTCTGCTTCCTGTGCACTCACTGCCAGGCTTTCTCCTCTCTGAGCTGCTCTAGAGAACAATAATAACATCCTCTGCTTCCCACTGGCCTGCATTCTGTTCTGCTGTCTGAACAATGCATGTGTCTTTGCTCCTCGATGGATGAGGCTTGTATTTCTGATTCAAATTCACAATAAAGTCAAAAGCAATTGTGCTGGAGCTGCTGGTGGGTCCAATGATCACTACCTTGGATAGAGACTGGGGACTCCCTTGTTCAAGCCCCTACGATGAAGACACATTGGACTTCTCCAGTTCTGTCCCTCCCCGGAACTTGTAACACAGTGGCACTGAACAATCAGAGCAATTAACAAAATGCTCAGAATGTACAGAAAGGAGATGAAGGAAGTTCAGCATTGCAGTTGGTGGGGGCTCCTCCCATCACAATCGATTCATCAAACAAACTTGCCAACTCTCTAAACTTTAATTTCAAATGACTGGGTCCCTTTGTGCACAGACAGATAATCAAATTCAGTATGTTGGAAACATGTTTCAGTCTTTTCTGGGTTGTTATTTTTTTTTTCAATTTTAAACAAATAAGAGCTCTTTCCAAGGCAGTGTTTTATTTCCTTTGCTTCACAGCCTGATTAATGATAGGCTCAGCCCCACAAAAAGCCAAGGGAAGAGAGGAAAATAAATGTGAAGGCCCAGCCATTTAAGTCCTCTCCTGGCCTTCCAAGAGAGGTTTAATACCCACCGACCACTCCGGGGTACAAATCTGAGCTGGATGCCATGGGTTGGCATGGGGTGAGCCTGAGTCTATGGCTGAGCTAATTATGCTTTTCAGCCTGGGCTAGGCATTGTCTTAAGAAACCAAGTGGAAATCACCAGGATTCTACAAACCCCCAGATGTTCACTTTGAGTTTCTGCCCTTTGATGGTACAAAGAGTGATGGACATGGAGTCAGAAGGCCTGGGTTTGGGACCCAGATCTACTCTTTACTGGAGGTGGGACTTTAACCAAGTCCCTTCCGTCTCCAAACTGAGGCCAGGCCTCAGTCTCCTCAAGTGTGAAGCAGGAATAATGATGTCCACTTCAAAATGTTTAAAAGGAGCTGGTACCACATCATCTCTTACAGAGAGACTCCTTGGTAGGACCCCCCAACCCCAGAAGCTCCCCTGAGCTATGTACATCTTGTAGGGCATGGATATGGCTGGAACCAAGGGCTCAGGAAAGGGAGTGACATCTCTGGGTTAGAAATAAAGAATTTCTGGCCGGGTGCGGTGGCTCACGCCTGTAATCCCAGCACTTTGGGAGGCCGAGGCGGGCGGATCACCTGAGGTCAGGAGTTCGAGACCAGCCTGCCAAACATGGTGAAACCCTATCTCTACTAAAAATACAAAAAATTAGCCAGGCATGGTGGCAGGCCCCTGTAATCCCAGCTACTTGGGAAGCCTAGGCAGGAGAATCACTTGAACCCCGGAGGCAGAGGTTGCAGCGAGCCAAGATCGTGCCATTGCATTCCACCCTGGGCAACAAGAGTGAAATTCCATAAAAAGAAGAAAGCAAGAAAGCAAGAAGGAAGAAAGGAAGAGAGGGAGGGAGGGAAGGAAGGAGGGAAGGAAGGAAGGAAGGAAGGAAGGAAGGAAGGAAGGAAGGAAGGAAGGAAGGAAGGAAGGAATTCTAACAGAAAAGGCAGTGAAAAGCAAGAGGCACAGAGGAGAGGGAAGAGCCAGAGGCTGTGATGGGCAGGACACAGCCTCCTCATTCCCCATCCCACCCCACCTGACAGCACTATGCCTCTTATCTACAGCAAATTGCTAAACTAATAAAACATGTCACATGTTTAAAGTGGAGTGTGCGGGTGTGTGATGAGACTGCTCTTTGCATCCAGCAATCCAATGCAGCTTAGAACCATAAGTCTGTGAGAATTTGCAGAAACCATGAGGACAGGCTTAAGTCTCTCCCAGGCTGTGGAGACTCCTGGTGACATCTGTGTGGTGTTACCATTGCTACAATAACAACACATTAGGAACGTTTCATTCAAATGGTTACACTTCCAAAGAACGGGCTTACACTTAGAATCTTGATCCATCTTTGTTCCATCCTGGGCCATTCCCTGGTGAACACAGCATGGCTGGGACATGGACATGGTAGAATTGGGAGCCTCATTTTCATTTTCAGTCTAGTACAATTCAGGTGAGGAGACAGCGGGAGCATCTGTTTCTGGGTCTCCAGCAGTAAAGAGGACAGGGCTTCCACACAGTCAGGGGGGGAAAAAAAAAGAGATTTCAAGAGGAAACAGAACTAACAATGTCCCTGGCAGGTTAGTTTCATGCTGCACCTGTTCTACTGGTTTGCTCACTTCTGCCTCAGTGACATTTTGCATATTTTACTCACAGTGCCTTGAAGTAGTTTAACTTTCAATAGGGTGCTTTTTGGCAGTTCTCCTAACCTAATTAGGTATCTGCCTAAGCCAGGGGAGTGACACATTTTTCTGGCCAAAGTAACCGTCCCAAGATCATGAGCATGCCTAACACATCCGAGTCCAGTGCTCACAGTGGACATCACTTATGTAGTTCTGCCAGGAAGGTACTGAGCTTTCATCTTTGCCTCATGTCTATAGTCTATTCTATTTCATTTGGAGCTCATCATCCGTGGTATTGCCTTGCAAATTATTTATCCATCGGGTTATTGTAGTAAACTTGTAAGCAGATGGGGTTTTAGACTTTCCATCCTGCCTCAAAGAAAAATGAACAAGGAGTGCAAGACACCTAAAATCCCTCATCCATCACCGCCTCCTGCCAGGTGATCTGCTTCCGCTATCCATGCTGTACACATCTCCTGCACTTCTCTCTGTATTCTGCTACAAGGAAGAGGTGAATCAACAGCGCCTCTGATGTCAGCGACACCCAGATGTTGGGCCTGCTCTTCTTCTTTCTGTCTAGGCCACATGTTCTGGGCTTTCCTGGTTTTCTTTACAGAGCTCCAACACTGGCATTTATTTATAAACCGTAGCCTTGGCTTCCCTTTAGTTTTCACCTCACGTCCCTAATCCAGGCCTCACCTTCAAAGCTTCCTAGCGCTCTTCTCTGACAGACCCAAATTCCCTTATTTCCATCAGGGTCTGTCTATACCAGGGCACTAATTAACTTCTGGCTCTCCAAGTTACAGAGCTCATTTGCTGACTCACAGGAGACAACCAAAGGAAGTCCTTCATTAGCATTCCTGAGCTGCTCATTAGCCACTGGGAGAATCACACCATCCAAGCTGTCAAATGCACCCAACTACAGGAAGGAAAAACAACGCTGCTTGGATTAATGACTCCAGGCATTGGGCATCTCCTAAGAGCCCAGCACTATGGGAGGAGAGGTATCAAATCCGTGTGAGGCAAACCCCTGTCACCAAGGAGATAAGAGCAAGACTCACAAGCATGAAACAAATAAAATATAGTATAGAAAAAGAATAGAAGACATCAAGACCAAGTTAGGTTTATTCCCAAAAGGAAGGCTATTTCAACATTTTGAAAATATGTCAATGTTAATGTTAACTTAAAAGAAAAATATTTAAATGAATATAATCATTGTAATAAATGAGGAAAAATCATCTGATGATATTTAACACCAATTCATGATTTAAAAGGAAAAAAATAACTTTTTAGCCAACAAGTAATAGAAGGAAACTTTCTTCATTCCATGAAGGATGGCTACCAAAACTCCTACAGCAAACATTACATTTAATGGTAAATTGTTGAAAGATTTTCCTCTGAGGTTAGAAGCAAAATCAGAATGATCATTACCCTTACTTTCCAATTACTGGGTAAATTGGATCACCACATGGAAAAAAAAATGACCCCTATCTCACACCACACACAAAAACCAATTCCAGGTAGATTAAATCTAAATATGAAAAACAAAACGATAAAGCTTCTAAATAATAATAGAAGAATTAATCATAGTGGTAGGCAAAGATTTCTTAAACAGAATACAAATAGCACTAGCCATAAAGAAAAAATTGATAAATTGATCTACATTAAAATTAGAAACTGCTGTGTTTCAAAGCACACCATTGGTAGAAAAAAAGACGTTATATGTAACCGGGAAAAATAAGCCTATCCAGACTATATAAATAACTTTTGCAAATCAATTAAGCAGACAACTCAATTTTAAAATGCAGGAAAAGACTTGAATAGGCATTTTAGAAAGGAGATATTCAAATGGCCAATAAACACATAAAAGTTGCTTAAACTCATTAGAGATCAAGGAAATGCCTATTACATAAAACTACAATACGATGCCACTATACTTCTCCCAGAATGATTACAATTTTAGGAGCTGACTATACAAAGTGTTGGTGAGAATGCGGGTCACCTGAACCTCTCTTGATTGCTGGTAAGGTTGTCACTCAGTATAACCATTTTAAGAAAGTGGCAGTGTATTAGTCCATTCTCACACTGCTATAAAGATACTACCCAAGACTAGGTAATTTATAAATGAAAGAGGTTTAATGGACTAACAGTTCCACATGGCTGAAAAAACTCCTCAGACAGAATCTACTGAAGTTGAGGGTACACACTGTCTGAACCAGCAATTCTGCTGCCCAATAGGAATGCCCAATCTGCCCAATAGAAATGCCTACATATGTGCACCAAAAAACACATACAAGAATGTTCATAGCAGCACTGTTCATGATAGCCCCAAAACGAAATCAACCCAAATGTTAATCAACCAGAGAATGGATAAATATGTTTTGTATATGCACAATGAAATATTACACAGCAGAAATGAATAAACTGCTACACATAATGGTATGGACGAATCTTACAAACATGAAGCTGAATAAAAGAAGCCCAGGCTTAAAAGAACCCATAGTATATGATTCCATTCATATAAGATTAAAATATAGGCAAAATGAATCTGTGGTATTACAAGTGAGTTTTCCAGGGTGCTGGCCCTCTTCTTTTTTTTTTTTTTTTTTTTTTTTTTTGAGACGGAGTTTCGCTCTTGTTGCCCAGGCTGGAGTGCAATGGCATGATCTCGGCTCACCGCAACCTCCACCTCCCAGGTTCAAGCGATTCTCCTGCCTCAGCCTCCCTAGTAGCTGGGATTACAGGCATGTGCCACCACGCCCGGCTAACTTTGTATTTTTAGTAGAGACGGGGTTTCTCCATGTTGGTCAGGCTGGTCTCGAACTCCTGACCTCAGGTGATCTGCCCGCCTTGGCCTCCCGAAGTGCTGGGATTACAGGTGTGAGCCACCGCGCCTGGTCAGCCCTATTCTATGTATAGATATGAGTAGTCATTACCTGGATTTGTTCACTGTGTGATATTTATCAAGGTGAAGTGGTATACAAAGGTAGAGAGGCCACCAGAGTGGTCTACTCCAGCAAGGATGAGTATCTTATCACTGACGTTTATTAGAATATCCAATGCATGATGGTAATAAAAGCTGCTTTTTTCCTGTTTTTAGATTCTCTACAGACAATGAACCCCCTTATTGCCTGAAGCTGGGGTGGACTACTGCTTCCTTCACCCCTCACTACTACTTGTCAAACTATACACCTAAGAGTTGTACAATTTCTGTATGCATGCTACACTTTGATAAAAATATTTATTTTTAAATGTTAATGGTAATATTTAAGAGAACATCAATTAAGAAAATACAACCGATCACTTCTAAACCAGACAACATTACTATAAAAGATAAACCCAAATTCATTTCATGATAGTGGCTAACACTGAGAAGGAAGGAAAATGGGACTTCAACTTTATCTGTGTGTGTGACAGTGTGTGTGTGTGTGACTGTGTGTGTGTGTGTGTGTGTGTGTGTGTGTGTGTGTGTCTGAGAGAGAGAGAGAGAGAGGTGAAAAAGCCTGAACCAAGGGCCACCTATATCAAAGTCATTTCTTTGGGAGGGATAATGAAGGCAAGCACTGTATCATCAATATGGCCACAAAAGAAAGGTTTCATTCAAAAACACACAAGAAAAGAGTTAGCAAAAAGTGTCCATGATGTCCATGGGGCTCCTTCTCTGGCTCCAGCAAGGGAATGTGGTAGGGAGGAGAAACCAGTAGTGCCTGCTACTCTTGTCCAGCAGGGTCTGAGCTCATGCAGCAGACAAAGAGACCTTCAGACCTGGACCTGTGGCAGGTGCTTCTAGAAATCCTCCAGACATTAGTGGAGTGATTGGGGCTGAAATCAAGACAGCCCAAGAAGGAGGGTCAGCCTTAGGGGTGGTGGCACCACCGAGGTGAAGTGGGGCATCAGGGTTGCTGCCAACCTCCTGTAATGTCCTCTTGAGCTTTGGGGACCCAAGAGCTCAGGGCCTAGCAAAAGGAGTCACCTCCGGACAAGCAAGCGGAGGCCCACTTAACCACACAGGGTAAGTTAGTAAGAGTCATGCCCATCCTCATGGCACTTTGCCGTTCTCAAAGTGCATCCCAATATAACCTTTTGTTTTATGTCCTGAGTCACCTCGTAGAGTTGGCAAAGACTATGTTTTTCCTCTTCTCTCATAAAAAGTAATAAATGCTTATCATAAAATTTAGAAAATGAAGGGAAGAAAGTACCTACAGATATCATACTTAACATTTTTAATAGTATTTCATATTCTATGGGCTAGGTTTGTTGTTTTCTTTCCTCTTTATTAGTATGATTAGATTTGTTGTTTTTCCTCTTTACTAATCATATTAGTAATCATATTAGTTTACTAATCATATTAGTAAAGAGAAAAAACAACAAATCTAGCTCAAAATCATATAAATATACATATATATCATATATATCATATAAATATACAAATATATAAATATACATAGCCGGGTTTACTATATCCATTTTAAAGATAAGTAACTTGAGGCTCAAAGAAGTTAAATAACTTGTCCAAAGACACAGGACTGCTGAATGAGGAAGCCAGTCTAGAATAAAAACATTCTGGCACTCTATTCTCCCTTTGGATGAATTTGAGAAACAAGTAAGGTCTCACTTCTTTGTCATCCTTCCATAAATAAAAAAGTCATTTCCTTTTTTATCTGCCCTTCCTGGCAGAAAAGGAAGAGAAAACACGAATTCTCAACCAGAAAAGAGCCATGAAAGCTGCCACTGGGTAGCTGGGATCAAGGGCAGCTGTGAATGGGGGCTGAGGGGCGTCACAGTGGGCTGCCCACTCTTTACTCTGGCTTTGAACAGTGTATTAGTCAGGGGCCTGCCAGAAAACAGATGGTCCCCTCTAAAGTAGGTAGGAAAAGCAAGTTTAATGAAGGGACTGTTTACAAACGTGTGAAAAGAGCTAAGAAAACTCACCAAAAAATGATAAAGCATCCTGAGTCTAAAAGCAGTGGTACTGGAACCTGCACAATGCTAGGGCCATGGGAGAAGAGCTCGGTCTCCCCAAACCATTGCCATGAAGGAAGGAGTTAGAAATACACTCCCCAACTT
Source organism: Homo sapiens (assembly GCF_000001405.40). Taxonomy (NCBI): domain Eukaryota; kingdom Metazoa; phylum Chordata; class Mammalia; order Primates; family Hominidae; genus Homo; species Homo sapiens. Next base: position 30,035,606 of record NC_000002.12, read on the forward strand.
TTCTCTACTCCAGGTTCTGAACCTGCCATAATCTCTCAAGGACTGAAGTCAACCAGAAGCCAGAGAGCAAAGGAACTGGATAAAGCCCTGGGGTCAGCCCCCTAGAACAGGGCAAGAGGGGCCAAGAGAGGAGACCCAGGGTGAGTTTTCCTATTTCTTCCTCATAGAGGGAGCCAAACAGGGGCTGTTCCTGAATTAGAATGACACAACAGAATTCAGAAGCACTAACTGGGTCTACACCTGGGATGGGCAACCTCGTGAAGCCTGCAGGCCAAATCCCACTCAAGGCCTGTTGTTATAAAGTTTTATAGGAACACGGCCACACCCATTTGTGTATGTATTATCTATGAGGCAGCTGTCACACATACCGCAACATCCAAGTTGAGTGGTTGTGACAGAGACTCTATGGCCTGCCTAAATATTTAGAGCCTAAAATATTTACTAGCTGACCCTTCTTAGTGACAAGAATCATATTCATTTAACATTCCATCTTACCAGTATTTATGAAATGCTTATTATATGCCAGATACTATTTCAGAAACTGGGGATATAGCAGTGATCAAAATGAACAAAAATCCCTGCCCTTGTGGAGCTTGTGGGAGAGATAGATACTAAACAAATAAATAAGAAAATTCTATAGAATCTAAAAATTGATGAATGTTTTGAAAAAAATAGAGGTGAATAAGGGGACAGGATATGCCACGGAGTGGGGGGGGCTTTACCTTAATCTTCTCACTGAACCCTAATGTAATGCAATGAGGTAATACCCTCCCTACTTCTTCATGAAAAGGAAAATGAGACCACAAGCTGGCTCAAGACCAAAATCAATGATTTTGCTGGGATTGGAACCCATATCTGTCTGCTCCAAAACCCTTGTTTGTGCCACCTTCTGAAAATGAGGATACGGGCTCAGAAAAGTAAAGCGACTTCCGATAAGTTTTATCTTTTGATGATAATCAGGGTTAGTTATCTTCATCCTCCTAAGGGTGACCTGCACAACCTTACACTGTGAGTTATGAGCCAAGCAAGGCTTAGAACCCAGACCTTCTGAAGCCAAACCCACACATTTAATCCACAGTCATCAGACCAACTTTTTAGCAGGAAATGTTTTGAAGGGTTGATTGGAATTGAGAAGGGTTAAGCCAAATGTGAAACAGACTCATAGAAAACAAAGGAGCACTTCCTACACTTTAAATTGGTTTGCTTAGGGATGCAATTAACAAGCAAACATAGACTGGCAATGCTACTAAACACATACTTCCCCAAAGACAGAGTGAGGATGCTAACAACATCATGGCTGTTAGCTTGCCCAGGTCAGACTTTCCCAAATATCTGTAATCAATTGTTCTCCTATCTTCCAAAAGACAGATTACAATCATCTTGCTACACGGATGTTGGTTTGGGTTGTGGAGAAGAGGAATGAATATCCAGGGATGTATTACAACAAAATAAATTTTTATCTCTCAAATGTCCCTCCCAAGATGGCAGCAGCTCCTGCTCTCAGACAATGTGGTCTAGGGAGCTCTAAGTAGGAAGCCCAGGGTCATAAAGAGCCTGTCATTGATTCTCCCTCCAGTTAATGAAGTCCCTAGGCTAGAGGAGCTATTAAATTTCAGTGCCAAGTATTAGTGGCTTTTGCTGGTTATAGTGATTCAACAGCCCCCAGTGAGGGTGAATCACAGGAAGAGCTGGAGAGCTGAATGTGGCCCTGGAGCCCAGGCAGTCTTGTTCACGGATATCACCTGGCATTCACATTGGCCAAGCAGCCGGGCCCTTGGAGCAAATACCACCAGCACCATCCCATCTGGCCACCATCATTCCAGCCATGGCTGTTTGGTCCTTGCCCTCAAAGCCAGGACACATCAACACTGGGGCTGCTCTTTGGGCAAATGAAGAAAAAGAAGATGCCAGGGACCATACGTCACCATGAAATGTATGCCCCTGCAGGCCCTCCATGGGTATTCCAATCCAAGGAGGAGAGACAAAAACATAAATGAGAAAGCTGAATGATGAAAGACCTGAATTAGAGATTAAGCAGCAAAGGAAGCAGCATAAATAGTCTTTGGGTAATAGGGTTCATAGAGAATGGGAGGGAAGAGAATGAGATTTTTGGAATATGGCTTATCTTGCCAGGGAAGAGGTAGTTTCTTAAATGAGCTACATCCATCCAGATAGCAGCCACCCTTACTTGGCACTTGTAATGGTTATCTTCCTAATATACTTCTTAAAGATGCTATCCCACCTTCATAAAGACTTCCCCACCCCCAGGCCAAGGTGGATGACTGACCCCAGGTGCCTCAATTTCTTCCCTGCTGGACAGCAACATGAAATGACAATGGGAGACCAAGTCAGCCAGGAGGAGCCACACTGGGGATTTTAGATTCAGAGGCTACACCGTGTGGAGGCCTCAGGGCTGCGGGGGAATAAATGTAGGGATGGATGTGCAGAAGAGCAGAGAAAATGGCCAGCGTAGCCCAGGGGGAAGGAAGGAGTAGGCTGGTAGCATTAGGTTCCCCGAGCCATCAGAAGCTCCCCGAGGACGCCTGCTTGTTCCAGTGAGTTTCTCTTCCTTGAAACTGAACTGTTCTGGACGAAAGGTTTTTGTTCTCTGCTGTCCTTTGTAAAGTTTTACAGGTGAGGGGAAAAGATTGGCTTCTTTTTAGGAAAAAAAAAAAAAAAAAGACATGCAGCAGCAGCAGAACTGCTGTCGGGGTGGGTGGATCTGAGTTCATCATCAGGTTCTGAATACTTCTCAGTATGATCTTGGGCAAGTTATAGCTGCTCTCTCTGACCTCTGTTTCCTCATCAATAAAAGGATCAATGGTCACCAGCCTGAAGTTCATGAACTCATCCTTGAGCCTGCAGGTAATAATAGGGTTTAATAATATCACATATCACCAAACTCCTCATAGAAAGTCTGCATTTTTCCACCCAAAGCATGCACAGGCTAGTCTGTCCTTCCTGCACACAGCTCTGCACAGCTTTCGCACACACACCGGCTCTGCTCACTCGGCTGCTGCCCTCATCAGACTGTGTGAGCTGTTTGAAGGGAAGGGCTGAATCAAATGCACACCACATGAGTAATTAAAATGCTCTGCTAGATAATTCTCCAGGAGACAGAGAGGTAGCTGTTAAAACTATTGCATCTCACAGTTGGAAGTGACCTCAGGAAGTGGCCTTAAGGATCTAAGACACTCATATTCAGTGAACAAATATACTGGTGGTATTTGTTCATTTCCATAGACTTTCCTTCCTTCATTTGTCAAATGAAAGGCATGGTTGTTAGGCCGGGTGTGGTGGCTCGTGCCTGTAATCCCAGCATTTTGGGAGGCCGAGGTGGGTGGATCACTTGAGGTCAGGAGTTCGAGACCAGCCTGGCCAACATGGTGAAACCCCATCTCTACTAAAAATACAAAAATTAGCTGGGCATGGTGGCAGGCACCTGTAATCCTAGCTACTCGGAAGGCTGAGGTGGGAGAATTGCTTGAACCCAGGAGGCAGAGGTGCAGTGAGCAGAGATCGTGCCACCACACTCCAGCCTGGGTGACAGAGCAAGACTGTATCAAAAAAAAAAAAAAAAATGAAAGGCATGGTTGTGTTTTAGCTTTGTGTTTTAGTTTTCTATTGCTATGTAACAAATTGCCAGTAACTTAGCAGCTTAACACAAGATTTACAGTTCTAAAGGTCAAAAGTCCCAGCTGGCATGGCTGAGTTCTCTGCCCAGGATATCACAAGGCTGAAATCCAGGTATCACCCAGAGAAAACTCTTAGCTTTTAAAAGGGTTTGTGTGATTAGGTTAGGCCCACCAGATAATCTCCCTGTCTTAAGGTGAACTGATTAGTAATGTTAAATACATCTGCAAAATCCTTTTTGCCAAGTAAGATAACATGATCTACAGGAGTAATGCCAGGGGTGAAGGTCATGAAGGCTATCATAGAATTCCGGTTCACACTCTCTATTATGGTTATCATTATTTCAAGATTTTTTTCTTCCTCTTTCTCCATTTTTATTACATGAGGGTGAGGACACCAGCCTCCCTTACTTCATTTGGCCTTAAGAGCATTATGGACTAACGTTAGCATGTTTTAAGCATTGGTGAAGTGATTTGTTAATAAATACACAACAGTACTAGAAAGTCAAGGAGAGAAGAAATGATATCTCTGAATTTTATGAAAAACAGGCTTCTACCCCCACTGAATCCAGGAACAACAATGACAACATGGAGAAACACTCTTACTCTAAAGATTTTAGAATCTATTTGTCAAAGTATTTTTCTGGGACTCCCTTAGTAAAGAGGCCCCATGGTCAAATCTATTTTTTAAATGCTACATCGCATATCTTCAACCCTGCCCCCACTATCCCATTTATAAAGCACAATAATATATTAAAGCACATGAGAAACTCTGCCGTTAACAAAGATATTTGGCCACAAATCCCTCTTACCCTTTTATTTATTTTTTAATCTGCTTATACCTTTCACAACTAGATCATTAGCCCCATGAAAGCATATATCTTCTTTGATTCCCTGCTATAACCCCAATGCCTAAAATAGAGCTGGGTACATAGCAGCAGTTCAATAAATGGCTATTGGAAAACAAATGGACCAGTGTTTTAGTAAATGCACCTTAGCAACTGCTGATCTAGAATCACACAGATGAGCTAGTCCAGACCACAAAGGCTGTTATGATTCAAAGGTGGGAGTGAATAGTGGCTTGAACATCATTGATGTTTTTCTCCACTGAGACTGACTTCCAAACTAGTAAATTGAAAAGTATAGAATGACTCACATAACCAAGAGCATAAGTGAGTTAGTGCAGCTCCCAAAGTTCAGGGATCCCACAGTGGGCCTGGCCAGGTTTCCCCACAGTCATGGAGGCAAACTCAACCCCTGCGTTTAGGGAAACCACATTTACCCACAGGCTGTAAACACCCCCTTATCCACACTTGCCAACCAGGGTTCCTACAAGAACAGCACTTAAGGCTTATTCCTTTGGGTGAAGAAATGGACCTCTGTAATCAAGACTTTTAAAATGCAAACACTTTAGAAACAATATATTAAGCTGCTATCAGTTAACTCAATCGTGGGATTTTTAAAGCATTTCTCTTCTAAGACTTCGATGAATTAAGAGGATAACAGGCAGTAGCAGTCCTGAAGAACAGTGGTTTGCAAACTTCAGGGTTCCTAAACACAACCTGAAGCTTGATAAGAAAGCAAGCCACACCCCAGAGATTCAGCAAGTCTAGAGTAGAATCCGGGAATTATTTTACCAGCCGTCTCAGGAAAGACTCTGCAGTCAGACTTCATCTCGGCCAAACCCCCTTCCACTCAAGAGTGACCAAGAACACTTTCTGAGTCCAATTTAAGTGCCTACCAAGGCCCCTCAACCTGGGCCCAAGCATCAGTGCTTTGTACTTGCCCAATACAAATTTATTAAGCAACTTCAAATTATATACTGCCCCTTTCCTCACATAATAATTTCCAGAATCATAAAAAGTGAAGGGTTTTAGTCTAAATTTACTTTGACATTGAGCTTGGGATAGTGATACCAAAACAATAATATATCCATGTTTTCACTTTTTATTGATTTTATGATGGTTTGACAATTTAAAAATAAACCAATTTACTTTTTCTGTCTCTTATATTTCATCAAAAAATTTTCGGGTCATCAGAACAGTTTTGGTGGATAAGATTTATTATGAGTTTTGACAATAAAACTGGATCTTTAAAAAAATATGAATCAGAGGGGGTCAGTGCCATAACAGCACTGCTCTTCTATCTTGTCTGTGTGCCTGCTTTCCCTCATGATTGTTTTTTGGCTTTCAAATAATGTCAAAAGTAAACAGACTGCTAAATTCATCAAACAGGCAATGAATTTTTTTCATCACTATTTCTTACTTTTAAAAACTAGAGGCCGAACGCAGTGGCTCACGCCTGTAATCCCAAGACTTTGGGAGGCTGAGGTGGGTGGATCACTTAGGAGTTCAAGACCAGCCTGACCAACATGGTGAAACGCTATCTTTACTAAAAATACAAAAATTAGCCGGCATGGTGGCACACGTCTATAGTCCCAGCTACTGGGGAGGCTGAGGCAGAAGAATCACTTGAAACCTGGAGGCTAAGGTTGTAGTGAGCAGAGATCACACCAATGCACTCCAGCCTGGATGACAGAGTGAGACTCTGTCTTGAAGAAAAGAAAAAAAAAAACCAAAAAACTAAAGATTGGTTTGTGTAGTGATTGAGTGGTGACCCCCCCACAAAAAATGTGTCTACATTCTAACCTCTGAATGCTGTGAATGTCATCTTATTTGGAAAAATCGTATTTGCAGATGTAATTTAGTTAAGGATTGCTAAACGAGATCATCTCGGATTATCTGGGTCGACCCTAAGTCCAGAGGGAGAAACATGGGGAGAAGGGGAGAAGAGGAAAAGTCCTGTAAAGATGGAGGCAGAGACTGAAATCAAAGCAGCCACAGTCCAAGGAATGCCTAGAGCCAGCAGAAGCTGGGAGGGGCAAGGATTACCCCCCAGAGCCTTTAGAGACAGCGGGGCACAGCTCACACCTTGATATCAGACATTTGGGGTCCAACACTGTGAGAGAATGAATTTCTCTTATTTTAGGCCACCTGGTTTGTGGTAATTTGTTATGGAAGCCAGAGGAAATGCATACAGTTAGCTTTCTTTTACGTCCTTTTTATGACATTGTCTTTGTTGAAAATTATCAGAAATATAAATATTCATTGAAGAAAATTTAGAAAATAAACAAGCAAATAAAAAATGTTTAAATTTCCATTTTCTACCACTCAACCATTTTAACAGCTTCCATATTCTTTTATTTTTGCTCTATATGTCAATATAGGCATAGAAAAATATGATTGGCATAATATAAATTATATAATTTATGTATATAACATAAAGTACATAATGCATATGCTTAAAAATTATGTTTACAAATTAAAATATATTGGCATATAAAATAATTATATACTATAAAATAGATTATACAATTGTGAAAGCTACACTTTTTACTTTTTAGATTATAACTATATTTCTATTAAATATTTTTCTACAGCATGGTTTTTCATGGCTGCATGCTATTCCACTGTATAAAATTTACAGTAGTTTAATAAAATCCTTACATAACACATAGGTCATTTATAGCTTTTCACTATCACATGCAAAAGTGAGATGAGAACCTTATAGCTTAAACTTTATGTAGTTAATTTTTCCTTAGAATAAAATCCTAGAAGTGAAAATACTTCATTTAAAATTTTGCCCTTGATTGCTTTGACTTTTATCTTGCTCTCTTCATTTCCAGCTCCAAATGTCACAATTACTATGAAGGTGTATGTGTGTGTGTAAAAGACAGGGAGTGAAATAGAAAGTGAGAGGAAGAAAAAAGGAAAGATTAGAAGAAACCAAGACAACAAGGTATTATTTCTCAAAAGCAGTGATGTTTATTCCAGCTCATTGTTGCCCAGGACACAAAAAGTTTACTGTTTCTTCCTGTTGTTGAGCTCTGGACCTCAAGAAACTTTCTAAAAATAATTATCAACCATAGAGTAACCCAAATATTGGCATTAAATAAAGAACATTCAGATTCTCACGATTAATTCTCCAGAAGCTTAAATATGGCCATTTGTAGAAACAGGAATCATTCTCTTCACCAATACATTAAACAAGAGCATTTTGTATGTGTGTGTGGGTGGGTAGATGGGTAGGTGTGTGTGTGTGCATGTTCACAGGTATACTATGAAGTCTATACAAATGCAAATAAACAAACATGTAAACTTTTTCTGAAAAGAATGCTAGCCAAAAATTCCAGACAATTTTTGGGTGACAAACTAGGGTATTTTTTTAAATGTCTCTTAAAATAATCAAGTCAGATCTGGATTTAGGCTTATCCCCCACTTTACCATAATACCACCAGGAAAGGTTTGTTCAACTCCATCTAAAAGTACACAGATGCACAAATGTGAAAAGTCCTGTAAATTAAGCCCAAAAATATGTGCCATTATGCACTGCTACCACAAAGGAGGGAAAGCAAATGCTTTTCAAGAGTCCTGGAGGCAGAAAAGCAAAATACAAACAGCTTTTTTGCCTTCAGCACGTGGCTTTCTACAGTAATTTTTAAATATTTTATTAAAGTGTAAATTACATACAATTCATTTAAAGGGTGTAGTTCAAAAAGTTCTCTTGCACCTATTTGCAGTTGATCCCTGCTGCTACTAGGGTACAAGACAACCACTGATATACTTTCTACAACCGTAGTTTTTGCCTTTTCCAGAACTCCACCTAAATGGAATCATACAGTATGGAGTCTTTTGTGTCTAATTTCTTTCATTCACCATGATGTTTTTAAGATTAATCCATGTTGATGTGTGCATCAGCAGTTAATCCCATTTTATTGCTGATATTCTATTATGTGGTTATTCTATATTTTGTTTATCTATTCACCCAGTAGTTGACATTTGGCTATCTGTTTTATATTTCATCGGTTTTCTTCTCTCATATTTCTTATTCTCTTCCTTCTGCTTTTCGGAGATTTAATTTGCCCTTCATTTTCTAGTTTCTTAAGGTGGAAACTTAGTTCATTGACTATAAACCTTTCTGCTTTTCTGATGGGAGCATTTAAAGCTATTAACTTCCCTCTAAGCATTGTTTTAGCTACCTTTTACAAATCTTGATACATTTCATTTCCTTTTAGTTCAAAATAATTTCTAATTCCCCATGTGATGTTTTTCTTTGATTCACAGATTATTTATAAGTGTCTTATTTCAATTTCCACATATTTGGGACTTTTTCAAATTTCCTCTGTGTTGATATTTAAGTCCATTGTGGTACAACGATTTTAAATTTCTAAGTAGAGAATCATACCTCATATGAAAATTAAGAGTAGCTTTATTATATACAATGAGGAAAAGGAGATATGATAGCAAAAATAATCAGTTGTTCCAGCACCATATATTGAAAAGACAATTCTTCGACCATTGAATTACTTTGACACCTTTATTGAAAATCAATTAGCCATATAAAGATGAGCTTTTCAGGATTGTCAGGTCTGTGCCAAAGATCTGTGAGTCTATCCACGTGCTAATACTGTACTGACTTGATCACTGTAACTTTGTAGTCCAGCGATTTTAAGCTTGTAAGCAGAGTGTCATTCCTTGCTGGAAATCAAATTTTATTATCTACAGTGAGGAAAAGGAAGACTGATAGCAAATCCTTTACCACCTACAAACCCACATTTCTTCTAGAACTCACAGAGGCCAGTGAATAGCCTTAAGTAGACCCTGCCCCTGTTAAGCAGTGACTATGCCTAGGTGTCACATTTTTGATAAAGTTTTCCCCAAACACCCTAGGCTGAATTACCCATTCTCATCTGGCTTTGTCCTGAGGCAGTTGGTTCCTGTGTGTGGTGTGGTGGCTAAGACCAACATGGACCCACAGGCGTTCAAATCATGGCTTTACACTCACCTGCTCTCGGTTTTTAGTGAGTTACTGCCACTAAAGTACTGACTTTATGCCTTTTACTCTTGGACCCAAGATATTTGCAACAGATAAAGGCAAAATGTTCCTCATGCCTTACTGACAGCTTTAGCTTTACTTTCGTCGGATTTTCTGTAATATCCAGTCAGTTATCCTGAAGTTAGAATGTAGTTAGAGTCCAGATGACATCATCATACAAAACATTCTTATTTCGGAGACCTGGTCAACTTTGTAATTTTTGTTCAGATTAAGTAAAAATTGGTTCTGCTGCCAGAAAGCCATTTTAAAGTGGCATAAAATAACATAAAAAAATTCTTCCTCAGAACTTTAAAGAATTCAAAATGAGAATAAAATAATGGAAATTTCAGTCCTAACCACAGTATTATGCTGTGGTACAAGTGTGCGAGTGTGATTTTTTTTTTTTTAAGAAACAGGGTCTCACTACATTGCCCAGGCTGGTCTCGAACTCCTGAACTCAAGTGATCCTCCCACCTCAGCCTCCCAAAGTGCTCGGATTACAGGTATGAGCCACCACTCCCAGCCCAAGTGTGATTTTTGGGCAACAACTACCACAGATGACTAAGCTGCTTGAAGTCATCTTGTTTTTATCATGAGTGGTTTGATTTAAATATATGTGTGTATATATATAATTATATGTAAAAGTGTGTAGCAGAAAAAATAAAATTCCCTCCTCTCACTCTACCTGAATTCCAATTTCCCATATAGGAAACCTCTGATTAATGTTTGATTGCTATGGGTTATTTTTTTAATTGTTAGTAGCCTCTCAGAGGCTATTGACAAGAAAAAAAAAAAGGCCATTGACAAGTTATGGAGGGGTTTTCCAGGTAGATTGAATCCTGGCATTTATGTCTGATTCCATTTCAAACCTCACTAAAATTATAGCAAAGGAATAAAAAGGACATAGGCCCACAGAGACAAAGGGGACAGGATCAACAAAATTTTCTAAAGATGGAAAGCAAGTCAGCAACTGCCCTTCCATCCTGACCTGAGTTCAGATTTGTCTAGTTTACCTGCTTGGGTGGAAGGAGGGAACCAGCAAGAAGCAAGCAAATTCACAATGCAAAAGCTCAGGAAATGAAGGTTTAATATCTCTTGCAAGTGGCCTGCAGAGTGGGGTTGAAGCCAGGATGAGAGGGTGAAAGCCTGCATATGGAGTGCTCAGGCCCTCAGACCCCTTTCCCCATTTCTAGCCTTCAGTGATTCCCCTGTTCCCACCACAGAGAAGCCTGGAGGTCTGCTATCTGGAAAAGCTATTGAGTGGCTATGAACTGGGGGCACTAGATACAACTAAGGCAGTAGGTAGTGCACAAGGGAAGCAGAGGAAGTAAGAGAAACTTGGGACAGGGAAGGGTGAAGTCCCCTTTTTCCTTCTCCTATGGGCTTCTGGAAGACAAACTTTCAGGTTTATAACACCTCACCACTGGCCTGGTCACTTTCCCAGAATGGAGGAAATTAGAAGCCTGATATCTGAGAGCTCCTGTCAAGGGGGCTGAGACCCATCCTCATTCCTGTGCAGTGAGCCTGCCCAGTTGACAAGGTTCTCTCCCACCCGCTGTGCTTCCAACAGCCTTCCAATGCCTTGCTCAATATAATACCAATGATCAGCCAAGAATCACCAGACATTTGAGGAAATGGAAGTCAATGGATATAGAAAACTGAAAACTCACTGACGAGCAGTATATTGTATGTTATTAGAAATAGAAGATAAATTTTAAAAAATTTATAGAGTCGAAAGACTTTGCCCATGGTGGGTGGAACTCTAAGGTGAATGGGGTGAACAGGGACCTATAGTTTTTCAATAGAAACTTTGTACTACTTGTTGATTTTTAAAACTAGATATTTGCATAAAGTTGACAAAAATTAAAATGAATTTTTAAGAATTTTTGTTTGATTCTTTAACAGTTTTTCTTTCTATTTCACCTTAGGCAATGTTTTTCCTGGTACTTTGGGAAGACATCTTCAAGTGGTTAACTGGTAGTTTTACATGTTTGTAACAGTCTCTGTTCATCTACATATCATCTGGACAGTTCCCAACTTCATGATGTCATAAAAAAGCACATTTAAACCAGGAGGTCATACCCTGTTGCACTCATACATGACTATTTATCTATTGTAACCTCCCATCTGGCTACAGACATGATGAGACTTATTTTGTCAGCTGGCAAAGCAAATGCTTCAGCTTCACCTCTCTCAGTAGAGCCCGATTCACACGTGCCAGCTGCTTATAGAGCACCATGGCCTGTGCAAAGCCCCCAGCTTGCGTTATTGCCCTTGCCTTATAATAACCCTATGAAAAAGATGCTATTATTATCCTGCATTTTACAGCTAAACAAATTCAGGCTTGGAGAGGTTAAGTACCTCACCCCAAATCATCTGACAAGTAAATGACAGAGCCAATTTTGTCAGACTTCAAAATCTATGCTGTAATCCACTGCATTATTCTGCTTTTCATGCATTTCACGGCAAAATTGCTCCATAGTGTATCTGGTTCCTGGATCAGCACTGCTGGACAACCAGTTTAGGTGTCACCAAAGCAATGATGCCTTTCCCTACACATTGTCCTGCCCACCTGAAAGTGCCATGAGATAAGAGCATGGCTGTTTTTCCTTTGCCCCGATCCTATTTCCCACTCAGTAAGACTGAGAAGAGATTCACTCAAAGAGTCTGCTGGGAAAATAAGATGGACTTCATAATTTGAAAATTCCTTCTAAGAATGCTTTTAAGGTTATTAAGTAGTACATCCAAGAGTAGGCAGCTCTTGGGAGAGCCTGGCCAAGGTATCTAGTGATATCCAGGTGACATCTTGTCTACAGATGATGGAAGACAGGGGTGTAGGAATTTTTTGTTCCCTGGAATATTTGATTTCTTGAGGATTTGGAGGTGACAGTTCTAACGTCATGAGAGCATCACAGCAAACCATCTGGGTGGAGACCATGGGTAATGTACCTGGCACTCATTATCATGGTCCTCTCATTCACAGCACACATACCTTTAAGACAATCCTCACACACCAATATATCCTGCTCGTAGCCTTTTGAAAGAAACATTTCCTTGACAGCATTTGCAAATCATGTTTTGTTTTTCTCCTCTGGAATAATTTGCACTGAAGAAATTCTTCCATATGTCAAAGTTGGTCTCATCATTTTGTTTGAAGGAGGGAGGTAGGGAAGAAGACTATAGTTAAGAAGCCAGTTCAAACCAGACCATGTATAAATATTGTAACAGCACGCTCTTGGCATGGTGTTCAAGAGCTTTCTGTTCCTGCAGGCTTCACCTCACTTCTAAAGTGTAGGTGATTTTGCACTAAACATCAGGTTCTGACATGAAAAATATGAGAACACAGCTGAAATATAGCTTAATATCCAGAATTTAGACAATGCTAACACCTTAACTGTTATTGTACATAATATTTATGTTAGCTAACTGATTGTCATAACAACACTGTGAGGATGCAGGGGGAATTGCCTCACTGTGTAAACAGCATTGCCCTACAGATGGCTGTGCGTGTTCTCTATCCTCTTCACTTGATTATGCCTCCTTGAGGGGAGAGACGGGGATTGTTAAGGGACAGCCATTGATCTCTAGTGATGGAAGACAAGATCATGTCATGAAATGTCAATGGGGCCTGCCTTACCCTCTCTGAGCCTCTCAGACCTGGTAGTTCCCAAGCACAGCAAATGCTTGAAATGCTTGAATGGCCAGTCTCCAATCATACACAGAACAGGGCCCAGCCACGTCCCTACATTCCATTCCAGCTCCTTTGTGACCACACGAGCAAGCCAGGATTCTGCAAGACACAAGGTCTAGGTTCAGGAATGAAGGGTTTTGTTTTTCTTTTGTTTTCCCTTGAGGAACGTTCAAAATTCTGCCTCCTCCTAGGCTTAAATTCTGGACTAATTACAACGCTCTGTCATTCCTGTTGGGGGATGAGAGGGCGGGACAGGGGTTGCAGATAAATAATGAAGAACATGTAGACATTCTGGATGCCACACCCTCTGCAAGGCCCTCACTTTGTTATCATCTGTATAAACGTGCACACACACCCTTTTAAACGTTCCTGAGGGATATTTTTCTAAAGTAGTTCATGTTGCAAATATCAAAAGGTGACATCTAATAGGGATTCCAGTAGGACATAAATCTCTGTCTGAAGCCCTGCGAGGCCTGTTCTCCTGCTCCTTCCTTTGTGTGTACTCCCTTGGCCTGGGGCTGCTACCGCTGCCCTGTATGTCTCCAAAGCCACAATCTTGCCCAGTGAGCTGCCATAATTCCAGCAGCCACCACACCCTTATGTGCCTGCACCCCTATAACCCCAAACCTTCAAACAATACCACCACCAATGCCCTTACCTTGCTTCCACAAAGCTATCATTTTGGGCAACTCCACTGCCACCACCAAGATAACCTTCCTGGCTGATCAACAGAACTACACACTAAGGATCAAGCTTCCACATATATCATAGTGTTATACTACATGGCCCGAGGATGCCTCCAAATCTGAGTCCTTACATAAAGAACTGCAACCTAACTTAGTGTGTAAACTAACCGAAAGCCTAAGTAGGAGTATACTCTTGTAACAAATAGCTGAGTCTCGGCCAATCACAGCAAGGGATCTTCAGTAATCGTAGGTGGCTAACTGATTAAAATAAGGCAAGACATCAAGCTGTAACCAATTAAGCCAACTTCGTACCTCACTTCCGTGTTCTGTTCATAAATGCTGCCTGACCTGAGTTCTTAGAACCTGCCTGGTTCTGAGGGCTGCCAGATTTGCAAATTGTTCTTTGCTCAACTAAGCTGTTAAATTTAACTTGTCTAAGCTTTTTCCTTTTAACAATAGTTTACCTGAGACACGGTTTGTTAGCACATTTTCACAGTTGACTTAGCTTTCATCCAGCAATTCTTAGAACCAGCTGAGAATCACCTGGAAAGCATCGCATTAGAATCACCTGGAAAGCTTCAAGCACATCCTGATGTTTGGACCCCATGCCCAGAGACACTGATTTAATTGGTCTGGGGTAGGACCTGGGCATTTCCATGCTTTACAAGTGATTCTTATGTGCACCGGGTTGAGAACTACAATTTAATTGCCTTTATGTCCCTACATATATGCAAAGCATGGGTGGTGCTTACGAACTGAAAAGGCCACATCAAACACACGTAAGTTAAGAGGACACTGATTCAATTTAATGGAGTACATATGTAACGTCTTCACATTTTTATATCATGGAAGAGCTGCTCTCATGGTCTGAGTGCATAGGGGATGGAAAGCAGGGCACTTCCTTCAACACTAGTTCCAGGGTCTCTACTATTCCCAGAACTCTGAGGGCTAAGGAGCAGCTACAGCTAAAAACCTATTCACATGGTTTTGGTCAACATGAGGCAAGAAGTGGTCCACAAGTCCAACAAGTTAATGAGTGGTCTTCCTTCCATCATGATGATGAAGTGCTCCCTGCTAGCCAACGTGCATCTTTCTCTTACACTTAAGAGTTGTCTCCCACCAGCCAGCCTCAGTGAATGGGGAGTGTCCTATGGGGTTGTATAAATAGTCAGAAATCAACGTGCTGCACTTCTGTGGGGTTGTCTGGCTCTGACCATTCTGATCAGCCTTTTCTGTTCACCTTGGTTTCCACAATAAAACCTTGGCTAGGTGGGGGATCGGGGGTGGGGGAGGCACTATACCATGAATCCAGACCCCCACAGCAGGCTCATCAGTTAGGTTTATCCTCACTCTCAATGAACTGGGAGGTGGTAGAGAGCATGGGCCCTGAAGTCCTAGGTGATATGCCTCTGTTTTAATTCCAGCTCCCACACTTCCGGGCTGTGTAAATTGGAGGTAGTCATGATAACCTAATTCACAGAGTTCTTTTGAGGATTAAATGAGGTCATGTGTGGAAAGCTACTTAGCACAGTGTCTTGGTAAGTAATTAATGTTTTCTAATAAAGCACACAAAAGTTTTCACCTTGGACAACTTTAAAAATCATTTAGAGGAATAAAAAACAGAGAGGGCCATGTGAAAACCTCCTAATCATGCTATTCACTATGAATTTGGAAGTGGCATTGGAAAAGTACGCAAGAAAGAAAAAAACTGAGGGGGGAAATGAGTTTCCATTTCTCGTTCAACACCTCTGTCTTGTTAGTAGTGAGGAAAGCTCTTTCTCCTGGATTCAGCAGAAATCAACTCCTTCTCATTCTTCCTCCTGATGAAAGAATGGGGACCAGGGAGGAAAGGAAGATTCTGAATCAGATAATTGGATCTGAGCCAAAAGCACAACCTTTTCAGTCCCACAGCATGATCTCCAAGGGGCTGGTGAGACTCTGGGACCTCTGATGCCATTCCAGAGGCTGTTGAGAGCTTCAGCATTGCAGTCGCTAACCTCCAATGACCACTGAAGCCAAGACCATAAAGAAAACTTGCCTTTGCCCATTAGTCAGCAGACTGAAGTCATTCTACTACTCCACCAGGGCAGCGAAGTCAGGATGCCATGTTTCCAAATTGACTCTACCCAAACCACCTAATGTCCTTAACTGGACTCGTAGCTGAACAACACTCAGGGAAGAGAAATTCTCTCTCATCTTTGGTAAATAAAAAGAGAAAAAAATCAATAAAACAATTTCCAATCTGCTCCTTAAACTCGATGCCCCACTGATCAGAAAGAGTCAGGAACAAACACATTAGCTCTGAGAGAAAAGAGCTTTTAAAAATAAGATTGGATCTAGTTGGCTGAACAATCATTATGCTTGAAATTCTCTGCGCCATATTTGCCAGTCAATAGAGCACACAGGGATATATACCGCAGGGACAGTGCCTTTCATCTGCCACCCGTTTCAGACCACATTTATAATTGCTATCAAGATCATCAAACCATCCAGGGACTTCAGGGAAAAGCATAATTCTCACCAAAATGAAGCAACAACTAGTTTGTAACACAAAAATAATACAGTTACCCTTGAGACCCAACTCTTTATTCAGGCTTCTCAACTTGGAAATACTATCTTTTACTAAAGATTTGAATCAAAGTTTAGGTCCTACTAACCCCTGCCTTACCTGTTCCTGTTCAACTAAGTCTTTGAGGTCCAGTCCCACACAGTCCCCACGTCAACCCGCATCAACACAGAGCATATCAGAAGTCCCATCGTTTTCAGTGGACAGGGTCCAGATCAGTTGTGTTATCACAGGTCTAGGTTGGGGTGATACCTGGGCCCTTTGTGTCCTACTCCAGAATTACTCTGTTACCCGTCTGACTTTTAAGAATGCCATTTCTAGATATCCCATTGTTGGGTCCAACTCACAGAATAGTCTTTTAAAATGCTACTTTCAGGCAGGGCATGGTGGCTCATGCCTGTAATCCCAGCACTTTGGGAGGCTGAGGCGGGTGGATCATGAGGTCAGGAGATCGAGACCATCCTGGCTAAAATGGTGAAACCCTGTCTCTTCTAAAAATACAAAAAATTAGCCGGGCATGGTGGCGGGTGCCTGTAATCCCAGCTACTCGGGAGGCTGAGGCAGGAGAATCGCTTGAACCCGGGAGGCGGAGGTTGCAGTGAGCGGAGATCATGCCACTGCACTCCAGCCTGGGTGACAGAGCAAGACTCCATCTCGAAAAAAAAAAAGGCTACCCTCCTCTAACGTCTGTGATCTAACTAGTCAGTTCTGTTTGGGCCAGTCCTGGCTTCTTCCCTTCCACACTTGCCACTGTCACCACCAAGCCTGCCTGAATTATGAGAAATATTTGCGTTTTGTTTTTTGTTTTTGCTTCAACCCATAAAACTTAATCTCAGATTAAGCATTTGAACTATAGGCTACATGGCATGGGGCAAGTCACCAAATACTACAACAGTAGCTATGTGCTCCTGGGCAAGTCAATTTACCAGCTGTCAGCATCAAATTGACCTTTCAAGTTTACCTAGTGTAATGTACACAGCTGGTGCCCAGTCCATATCTTCATTTCTAGGGTGGGCACCCTCCCCAGTGTTCTGAGTGTTAGCTGCTAATATTCAGAGCTGCCGCCTTCTTTTAAGAAGTGAATTGCCCTCAGTCCACCCTCCATTAGCCTGGGCAGCCCACAGCTAATGACTGGTTGACATGGAGTACAAAGGGTTGACTCCCTTGTTTCAAAGTGGGCCACCTGTGTGACGCCATTTCTACTCCAGAGCATCCCACGAGATCAAGCTGAAGTTGGGTTTAGCTGAGACCATGCCCTTGCATTTTTTCCTCTGCCATGTCCCGCTTTCCTCATTTTCTTTCTCAAGAGAGCACTCTCTCAATAACTTGCTTGCATAAACATCCCCAAACTCTGGCTCAGACTCTGCTTCTAAGAAACTCAACACAAGGAAACTAGGATTTTGTGTGGAACATGAATTGGATCAGATAAAGAGTAAGGCAGGAAAACAAGTTAGGAGCCCGCTGCCACAATCCAGCTAAGAAATGTTGTTTTTTATCTGTTCTACTCTGAAATTCTATGGTTCTCTGAACAGAATGCTGCTAGTAGTCACAACAAGCTCATTAACTCTGTTCCATATGTTAGAAAGAACATAGGTCAAACTGGCACAGTGAGTTGTCTGCTCCACTGAGACTGGTGGTCAGAGAAATAACAAACAGAGAAAAAATGGAAGCATTTGATTTACTGGGAACCAGATTGTAAAAACAGATCATCTCCCAGTTCTTCGTTGAAATGTAAAATTCCACTGGGGATCCAAAGACAGGTCCCTTGACTTAGTATGCTATTGATTACACGTAGATTGTCCAAGGATAATCTAAGCTATCCACCCTTTGCCCCCAAGGGTTCTTCCTGGAGTCAACAAGTGTTGCAGAATGTGACTTAAACATAACTCGAAGGTAAACCTACTTCAGATCAGAGACATCAAGATGTATGCAAAACCAGATTGGTCTTGGGTTATCTATAATTCCAGTCAACATGGGAGTTTATGCCTTTTCTTTGACAAAGGTAAGTACATCCCTGTTTTTCACACAGGTCTGCAGAAATATCCTCAAGAATTTGAAGTTCTCTATAAGGATTGTTTTTCTATTTTAAATTTTTACGTTAACCTTTAAAAAATTAATCTAAGTGAATTCTATTTCTCATGGATGGCCACTGATAACTGAACCTTGCCATGAGATTTCGATGTTGGTGTTATAATTGGGTGTTGACCTTATTGACACTAAGGTGATTATCCAGAACTACAAGTGCTAACTTTTAAGGAAGAATCTCTCAAGCTGGACATTTGTACGTATATTCTCATGAGTCCATGAATTTCAAAATGTGAATGATTGCTTCATTTCTGAATGTGATCAATGCCTACAAATTCTAGTTGCAAAATAATGGCCACTTGCTATTGATTACACATCAATCAAAATGATGGCAAGTGGCCATCATTTTGCAACTAGAATTTGTAGGTATTGATCACTGACAAAGTGAGGAGCTGGCATTCTGGTTGCTCAGCTGCCACTGCAGAACAGAGAAGGACACCTGAGCAGGACAGATGAAGTCCCCTTCTTGAAAAGTCACATGATATCAAGTATTCCCATCCCAGGGTTGGTATCAGTTATCATATTGCCATTACCATTTATTTTTAATTAAAAATCAGGCTCAGGGCCAGTGGCTCAATGGATAATGCGTCTGACTAAGAATCAGAAGATTCCAGCCTTGACTCCTGGCTGGCTCAGTGGGACTACTCTCAGTTTGGCTGGGTGTGGTGGTTCATGCCTGTAATCTCAGCACTTTGGGAGGCCGAGATGGGCGGATCACCCTGAGGTCATGAGTTCAAGACCATCATGGCCAACATGGAGAAACCCTGTCTCTACTAAAAATATAGAAGTTAACCCGGTGTGGGGGCGCACACCTGTAATCCCAGCTACTCAGGAGGCTGAGGCACCAGAATCGCTTGAACCCAGGAGGTAGAGCCTGCAGTGAGCCAAGATCACACCACTGCACTCCAGCCTGGGCGACAGAGCAAGACTCCATCTCAATAAATAAATTAATTAATTAATTAAAAATCATATAAATTATTAAAGCAGTGCCCATGACATTGTTCCAGCTTGAAGATGGTGCCTATTTTTTTTAATCTCTGGCTCTATAGAACTTAGTTGCTGGGCTCTTTCTTGGGAGGTATTCACTAAACATCTGACAAGTGAATATGCATTAAGCCACAGAGAAGGCCCCTCAAGGAGTTTATAGACTAACAGAAAACCACCCAGATTATAGTGACCATTTGATTTATCACAGAACAAGTCTGTGCATTCACAGGTGCTACAACTAGAAGGAAAAGAAAGGATTTGATTACCATAAAAGTCAGGAGAATGATCCCCTCTGGAGGAGAGAAAGGGGACAAGACCAAGGAAAGGGAGACATTCTGCGATCGATGGCAATCTTTCCATTGCTTAATGTGGGTGACACTTACATGAGCATTTATTTTCCAACTTGTAGGTCCCCTATGCATTTATTTCAGGAACAACAGTAACAAAAATCAGTGAAGCACTGTGCTCTCCAAAGAAATGCAAACCAATGTGACCACTGTTATATAAGAGAAAGAGTACTGGTCTGAGTCCAAATTCCTAATCTGAATCCCAGGTTTGTAACTAATTAGCTGAGTAACCATGGTAAATCACATAACCTCTCTGAGCCTCAGTTTTCCCGTCTGTAAAATGGGGATATATAAGTCACCAACTTCACAAGGTATTGTGATTCTGAAATGAGATAATACATGTGAAAGGGCTTCATTGTTTTGTAGAGTGGAAGGCATTCTAAAAACATAAACGTGATTAATTTTATTTGGAATTATTATTGCAGCTGAGACATTGTGTCTAAGAAAATGTGGGCCCTAGTTCCCAGGTTCCACTGATATCAGTTCATCGGTTCTGTGTCTTGCAAAGCACGTCTTCCACATTCTCTCTGGACCCGGGCCTGCCGCCTCTCCTGCCTCCACTCTCCAACACAGACCCCAGGCTCCTGCCATGCTGTGCCCTTGCGCTTCTCCCATTGTGTCACACACTCTCTGGGTGCCTTCCCATACACTGTTTCTTCTGTTTTTACTCACCTGACCCACCCTCCAGCTTATAACGCATTCATTAATGCAACAAATATTTACTGAGCATCTGTTATGTGCCAAGCACTGTTCTAGGCCCTAGGGATAAGTTCCTGTCCTCATGGTGCTTACATTCTGGTGATGGCTCAATTCAAAAACACCACTTGCTCTAGGATAATTTCCAAAATGTCCCCTCTCTACTCCCTTCCCACAACCACCCACCACCAATCCCCACTGAGCTAGTGAATATCTCTTTTTGTCCTCAGAGTGTCCTGTACACTCATATGACTCTATCGTGATCATTCATGTAGGTGGTGGGCTCTTCGGTGTAATGATTACTTCTTTCACCTTCATTTGCGGAGAAGCACACAGAGCAATTATAATAGCTAATGGCTAACAAGCACTGAGTGCTTAATATGTAGCTGGCACAGTTCTAAGCACTTTTATGTATTATCACATTTAATTCTCACAAAAACCAGCAAGGTGGCCATTACTGTTGACCCAGTTTGAAGATGAGAATTCAAGCACAAGGAAGTACACTAACTTGCACAGGATCACAGAGCTGGTAAGAAGCGGAGCCCAGTGTGAATGAAGACATCCCACTCTTGGTCACTGCACCATACGTCCTCACAGTTAGGAGACACTAGAGGTGTTTGGGAGTGGAAGAAAGGCAAAGAACTGGTAGGGAGGATGGCCATTTGCTTGGCAAATAACATGACAAGGATATCTTTTTTATTAGGTGCCTTAGAGTTGGGATGAGCCTGAAAGAAGAAAAAAGAGTGTTCTATTTAGATTCCTGCATCCATTCCCATTTCCTTTATTTCTCCCCTCTCTAAACTTAAGCTATCTAGGGATTATCCAATCAATTAGAACACACTTTAATTAATGGCATTGTTCAGGCTGGTCTGTGTTCATTCAAGCCCCAAAAGACAACTGCATAAATGAAGCGGGGGACTGGGGGATTCCAGTCTCCTTCCTGTCAGTCAACTTGGATCCTTCTGGGAAGCAAATGTGAAGACAGGTTTTCAAGGCCAGATTGAGCCCCAGAGATCCCCTGGTCCAGCAGCAGGGAACTCAAATGCCTGTGAGGAAGAGCACTTAACAGAACCAGGTGAAGCAGGCAGCAGGGAGGCGTTAAGCAGCTTGTACAGGACTCAAGCGTAACAATCACTGCCTATCACCTTGCTTTGATAATTTTGTGTGGAACTTCTGGTTAAGCATGGCAGATTAAACCCATGCATTTATATCTACTTCCTCCTCCAATCCTACTAAAATGACAGTAAAAGAATTTTTTTAAGTGTGAATCCATAGGACAAAAAGGAGAAAGAACATGGCGGCAGACACAGGATGGCAGCAGACACAGGATGACAACAAGACTTTGGAAGAGGGAAGTGATAGATGACTTAGTATGGAGAAGGCTGAAAACTAGGCATGAAAAAAGATGAGTCAACAAGATACAAATCAGTTTGTACCTCAGAAGCACAGAAAAGCTCTGAGCTTGAAGGAATCAGGTATCCTCAATGTCTGGGGGAAGAGATGGGGCTGAAAATGCAAGGACTAAAAGCAGTTAAGAACCCCATCCTCAAGTTACTAAGTAACTATGCCTCCCCACTTTGGGAGAAAGCTAGAGGTTTCCCGTTGGTGTAACAGAACCAAAAAGGATCTCTCTTGAGGACACCAGGCTTCTCAGAAAACAAGGGTGAGGTGCCTCCATGAAGAACCATACCATACTACGTGAGATTAGACATATTAAGAAGGAGACAGTATGTAGAGGGTTTTGCATGTCTTTCTTTAAACTTATTCCTAATATTTGATGTTTTGATATTATTATAAATGGTATGTTTTTTATTTTTTAATTTATTATTTATTTATTTTTTGTTTTGTTTTGTTTTGAGACAGAGTCTCGCTCTGTCACCAGGTTGATGTGCAGTGGCGTGGTCTCGGATCACTGCAGCCTCTGCCTCCTGGGTTCCAGTGATTCTCTTGCCTCAGCTTCCCGAGTAGCTGGGGTTACAGGCACATGCCACCACGCTGACTAATTTTTGTATTTTTAGTAGAGACGGAGGTTTCACCATGTTGGCCAGGCTGGTCTTGAACTCCTGATCTCAGGTGATCCGCCTGCCTCGGCCTCCCAAAGTGCTAGGATTACAGGCGTGCACCATCACACCCAGCCATAAATGGTATGTTTTTAAAATTTTATTTTCTAATTGTTTATTGACCATTAACCTTGTATCTAGGGGCCTTAAATTTACCTAACAACTTCTTTTTGTTTGTTTGTTTTTGTTTTGTCTTGTTTTGTGTTTTGAGACAGAGTCTCACTGTCGCCCAGCCTGGAGTGCAATGTTGCAATCTTAGCTCACTGCAACGTCTGATTCCCGGGTCCAAGCAATTCTCCTGCCTCAGCTTCTCGAGTAGCTGGGGTTACAGGCACACACCACCATGCTGACTAATTTTTGTATTTTTAGTAGAGACAGGGTTTCACCATGTTGGCCAGGCTGGTCTCGAACTCCTGACCTCAGGTGATCTGCCCGCCTCAGCCTCCCAAAGTGCTTGGATTACAGGCATGTGCCACCACACCCAGCCATAAGTGGTATGTTTTTAAGATTTTATTTTCTAATTGTTTATTGACCATTGTCAATATCTAGGGGCCTTATATCTAGGGGCCTTAAACTTACCTAACAATTTGATATTTTGTTTGTTTGTTTTTTGTTTTGTTTCATTTTGTTTTGTATTTTGACACATAGTCTCACTCTGTCGCCCCAGCCGGAGTGCAATGGTGCGGTCTCAGCTCACTGCAACCTCCAATTCCTGGGTCCAAGCGATTCTCCTGCCTCAGCTTCCCGAGTAGTTGGGACTACAGGCACGCACCACCATGCCTAGCTAATTTTTGTATTTTTAGTAGAGACGGGGTTTCACCATGTTGGCCAGGCTGGTCTCAAACTCCCAACCTCAAGTGATCTGCCCTCCTCGGCCTCCCAAAGTGTTGGGATTACAGGCGTGAGCCAACCTAACAATTTGAATCCTACTTTTGTGAAATCTTTTGAGCTTTCTGTATACACAATCACATCATCTACAAATAACGAGAGTTTTATTTCTTCCTTTCCATTCATTTTGCCGTTTTTCTTCTTGACTTATTTCCCTGGCTAGAACATTCAGTACAATGTTGAAGAGAATTGGTGTTAGAGGGTATCATTGTCTCCTTCCTAATCTTATTGGGAAACCTTCCAAAATGTTACCATTAATTATGTTTTTTATTAATTTATAAATTAATTTTCAAGTAGATTTTTATTACTGTTTTTTACAATTTTCCATTATCTGAATAAAAAAAATTTCCTTTTATTCTTAGCTAAGAAGGTTTTTTAAAAAATCAAATGTTCTGCTTCATCTATCAAACTTATCATATGATTTTTCTCCATTATTGTGTTAATTTGGTAAATTGCATTGGCCAATTTTTTAATGTTAAACATACCCCTTGATTTCCTATATAAATCCAACTTGGTCATGATACATTATCTTTTCTACATATTGCTGGATCAGGTTGTTAATATGTTCTTGGAATTCCGTACCATCATTCAAGGAAGAGATTGATCTGGAATATTCCTTTCTTGTAGTGGTTTTTAATACATTGGGATGCATAACAACATCTCTGAGCCTCTGTTTCCTTTTTGATAAAGTTAAGACAATTTACCAGAATTCACAGGGTTGTTATAAGATTAAGTTAGAAAATACGTGTGAAATGACTTGGCACATTTCCTGGCACAAAGTAGGTACTTGACAAATATATACTGAAAGATTAGAATGGACTGCATCTCTAATCAGGTAAAACTTAAGAATAAAATGTGTATATAAAACAATCCAAAGAATAAGTTAATGAAAGTAACAAAGGCTTCATTTCTAAAACCAATAAGTAGGATTTGACACACAACAATCTAATTCATAGAGCCCCAACTTACGTTCAGAACTTACAATCCAGAGCCCAATGAGGGCAAACCCCAGATCATAAAGGTTAGGAAAAAGAGGCCAAGACCTCCACAATACCAGCTATTTCACTCTCCAGTGATAATTTCTAGTTCCACCGTCTCTGTAAAGGTGAACTGGTACGAAGCAGCCTGAATTGGCAACCAAGAGACTGTCCTTTATTAGTTCTGTGACCTTGCCTAAATCACCTCAGCTTTCTGGGCTGCAGTTTTCTCATCTGTCTAAAAAGCAATAATAGGGTGTGGAGCAGGACAGCCAAATAGAAGCCATCACCAATCATCCCCCGCTACTGGAACATCAAATTTAACAACTATCTACACATCAAGAAAGCACGCTCATAAGAACCAAAAATCAGGTAAGCAATCACAGTACCTGATTTTAACTTTACATCACTGAAAGAGGCATGACAAGAGTAGAAAAGCATTCTTGAATTCCAATGCCACCTCTCTCCCATTCCCCTGCAGCATGGCATGGAGAATCTGTGTGCTTGGGGTAGGGAAAACACAGTGATTCTGGGATCCGGCATTGAACTCAGTGCTGCCCTGCCACGGCAGAAAGCAAATCCGAGCTAAACTTAGCAGGTGCCCGCTCACAGAGGGAGTATTTGGACCAGCCTTAGCCAGGGCGGATTGCCCATCCCAGCCATCAGAACTTGAGTTTCAGCAAGCCTCATCACCACAGGCTGAAGTGCTCTGAGGTCCTAAATAAACTTGAAAGGCAGTCTGTGTCACAGGACTGCTATTCCTAGGCAAGTCCTCATGCTCTGCTGGGCTCAGAGCCAGTGGACATGGTGGGCACACAACCTACTAAGACACCATCCAGGGTGGCTAAGGGAGTGCTTGCACCACTCCCCCATCAACCCCAGGCAGTGCAGCTCCCAGAAAAAAAAATTACTACTTCCTTCTGCTTCAGGAGAGGAGAGGGAAGAGTAAAGAGAACTTTGTCTTACTTCTTGGATACCAGCTCAGCCACAGTAGGATACAACATCAGCAAGGTTTGTGAGGCCCCCATTCTAGGCCCTAGCTCCCAGATGACATATCTAGACTCATCCTGGGCCAGAAGGGAATCCACTGCCTTGAAGGGAAGGACCCAGCCCTTGCAGGATTCATCACCTGCTAACTAAAGAACCAGGAGTAATACCTAGGTAGCCTTAGGTGAGACTCTGAGATGTATAGAGCACAGAGCAGGCCCTTAGTGTCCCCAGTTTCAGGTCTTGGCTCTTGGACAGCATTTCTGGACCTGCCCTGGGCCAAAGGGGAGCCCACTGCCTTGAACAATGAGCTTCGGGCCTCAAAGCATACACCACAAGCTGACTGAAGCATTCTTGGGCCTTAGTTGAACATCAGCGGTAGCCTAGTTCTAGTACTAGGGTAGACCCATCACCCTAGTCCATGGGTCTGTGGTGGGGGAGGCCATGAGGAGAGGCTCCTCTGCCTGTGGAAAGGGGAAGGAAGAGTGGGAAGGACTTTGTCTCATGGTTTGAGCACCAGCTTGGCTGC
Source organism: Homo sapiens (assembly GCF_000001405.40). NCBI lineage: Eukaryota > Metazoa > Chordata > Mammalia > Primates > Hominidae > Homo > Homo sapiens. The sequence goes on from NC_000002.12 coordinate 30,061,611, forward strand.
AACAGAATAGAGCACCAGGTAGATTTCCAAGGTTTTTGACTCCAGTTTGGCTCCTGAATGGCATCTCTGGACCCACCTGGGCCCTGGGGAAATCACTGCCTTGAAGGGAAGGAGGCGAGCCTGGCTGGCTTTGCCACCTGCTGATGGTAGAGCTCTAGGGCCTTGAGTAAACATAGGTGGTAGCCAGGTGCTGTTACAGCAGTCCCTGGGTGAGACCCAGTATTGTGCTGGCTTTAAGTCTGACCCAGCAAAATCCCAGTGGTGGCGGTGGCCACAGTGCTTGTGTCCCCCAACCCCCAGCTCCAGGAAGCTCAGTACAGAGATAGAGGGGCTCCATTTGTTTGGGAGAAAGTAAAGGAAAAGAACAAGAGTGTCTGCCTGGTAATCCAGATAATTCTTCCAGATATTATCTAAGACCACCAAGGCAGTACCTCTATGAGTCTGCAAGAGCTACAGCATTGCTGGGCTTAGGAGGCCCCTCATGCAAATACAGCTTAGAACACAACATCCAAGTCCTTTTGAATACCTGGAAACCCTTTCCAAGAATGACAGGTACAAACAAGTCCAGACTCCAAAGACTACAATAAATACCTAACTCTTCAATGCCCAGACACTGACAAACATCCACAAGCATCAAGACCATCCAGGAAAACATAACCTCACCAAATAAACTAAATAAGGCACCAGGGACCAATCCTGGAGAAACAGAGATGACCTTTCTAACAGAGAATTCAAAAGTGCTGTTTTGAGGAAACTCAAAGAAATTCAAGATAACACAAAGAAGGTATTCAGAATTTTATCAGATAAATTTTAAAAAGAGATTGAAATAATTACAAAGAACCAAGCAGAAATTTTGGAGTTGAAAAATGTAACTGGCATACTAAAGAATGCATCAGAGTCTCTTAATAGCAGAATTGATCAAGCAGAGGAAAGAATTAGTGAGCTTGAAGACAGACTATTTGAAAATACACAGTAGGAGGAAACAAAAGGAAAAAATAAAAAAGAATGAAGCACACCTATGAGATCTAGAAAATAGCCACAAAAAGGCAAATCTAAGAGTTATTGGCCTTAAAGTGTAGGTAGAGAAATAGATGGGGTAGAAGTTTATTCCAAGGGATAATAACAGAGAACTTCCCAAACCTAGAGAAATATATCAATACTCAAGTCCCAGAAGGTTATAGAACACCAAGCATATTTAACCCAAAGAAGACCACTTCAAGGCATTTAATAGTCAAACTCTCAAAGGTCAAGGATAAATAAAGAATCCTAAAAGCAGCAAGAGAAAAGAAACAAATAACACACAGTATGTCTGGCAGCAGACTTTTCAGTGGAAACCTTACAATCCAGGAGAGAATGACATGACATATTTAAAATGCTGAAGGAAAACAACTTTTACCCTAAAATAGTATATCTGGCAAAAAATATCCTTCACACATGAAGGACAAATAATGACTTTCCAAGACAAACAAAAGCTGAAGGATTTCATCAAAATCAGACCTGTCCTACAAAATATGCTAAAAGGTGTTCTTCAATCTGAAAAAGGTCATTCATGAGCAATAAGAAAGCATCTGAAGGTACAAAACTCACTGGTAGTAGTAAGTACACAGAAAAAAAAACACAATATTATAACACTGTAATTGTGCTATATAAACTACTTTTATCTAAGAAGACTAAAAGATGAACCAATCAAAAATAATAACTACAACAGCTTTTCAAGACATAGACAGTACTATAAGATATAAACAGAAACAACAAAAAGTTAAAAAAGCGGGGGATGAAGTTAAAGTGTAGAGTTTTTATTAGTTTTCTTTTTTGCTTGTTTATTTATTTATTCATTCAGTGTTAAGCTGTCATCAGTTTAAAATAGTGGGTTATAAGATAGTATTTGCAAGCCGTGTGGTAACGTCAAATCAAAAAACATACAACAGATACACAAAAAATGAAAAGCAAGAAATTAAATCATACCACCAGAGAAAATAACCTTCACTAGAAGGAAGACAGGAAGGAGGGAAAGAAGGAAGAGAAGACCACAAAACAACCCGAAAACAAATAACAAAATGGCAGGAGTAAGTCCTTACTTACCAGTAACAACATTGAATGTAATGGACTAAACTCTCCAATCAAAAGACATACAGTGGCTGAATAGATTTTTTAAAAAAATAAGACTCAATGATCTGTTGTCTACAAGAAACATATTTTGCCTATGAAGACAAACACAGATTGAAAATAAAGGGACGGAAAAAGATATTCCAAGCCAATGGAAACCAAAACAGAGCAGGAGTAGCTATTCTTACATAAGACAAAATAGATTTCAAGACAAAAACTATAGTTAAGAGACAAAGAAGGTCATTATATGATGATAATGGGGTCAATTTAGCAAGAGGATATAATAATTGTAAATATATAAATGCCCAATACTGGAGCACCCAGATATCTAAAGCAAATATTACTAGAGCTAAAGAGAGAGATAGACTCCAATACAGTAACAGCTGGGGACTTCAACAACCCATTTTCAACATTGGACAGATCTTCCAAACAGAAAATCAACAAAGTAACATTGGACTTAATCTGCACTATAGATAAGTTGGACCTAATAGATATGTACAGAACATTTCACCCAATGGGTGCAGAATACACATTCTTCTCCTCAGCACAAAGATCATTCTTGAGGATAAACCATATGTTATGTCACAAAGCAAGTCTTAAAAAATTCAAAAAAAAAATGAAATAATATCAAGGATATTCTTTGACCACATGGAATAAAACTAGAAATAAATAACAAGAGGAACTTTGGGAACTATATAAACGCATGGAAATTAAACAATATGCTCTTGAATGACCAGCAAATCAATGAAGAAATTAAGAAGGGAACTGAAAATTTTCTTGAAACAAATGATAATGGAAATATGACATACCAAAACCTATAGGATATAGCAAAAGCAATAATAAGAGGGAATTTTATAACTAAAAGTATCTACAACAACAAAAAAAGAAAAACTTCAAATAAATACCTAATGATGCATCTTAAAGAACTCGAAAAGCAAGAGTAAATCACACTCAAAATTAGTAGAAGAAAAGATACAATAAAGATCAGAGCAGAAATAAACAAAATGGAAATGAAGAAAACAATACAAAAGATCAGTAAAACTAAAAGTTGGGTTTTTGAAAAGATAAACAAAATTGACAACCCTTTAGCCACACTAAGAAAAAAATAAAGAAGACCCAAATAATAAAATTAGAGATGAAAAAGGCATTAAGACCAATGCCACAAAAATTCCAAGGATCTTTAGTAGCTACTAGGAGCAACCATATGCTAGTAACTTGGCAAATCTAGAAGAAATGGATAATTTTCTAGATACATACAACCTACAAAGATTTAGCCATAAAGAAATCCAAAACCTGAACAGACCAATAACAAGTAATGAGATTGAAGGCAATAAAAAGTCTCCTAGCAAAGAAAAGCCAGAGACTGGATAGCCTCACTGCTGAATTCTACCAAACATTTAAAGAAGAACTGATACCAGTCCTACTCAAACTGTTCCAAATAATAGAGGAGGAGGGAATACTTCCAAACTCATTCTACAAGGCCAGTGTTACCCTTATACCAAAACCAAACAAAGATACATCAAAAAAGGGAACTATAGGCCAATATCCCTGAATAATATTGATGCAAAATTCATCAAAAAAATAGTAGCAAACCAAATTCAACAACACATTAAAAAGATTATTCATTATGACCAAGTGGGATTCATCCCAGGGATGCAAGGATGGTTCAATATACAGAAATCAATCAATGTAATATATTATGTCAACAGAAAGGACAAAAACCATATGATCATTTCAATTGATGCTGAAAAGCATTTGAAAAAATTCAAGATACCTTCATGATAAACATGCCTCAACATAATAAAATTCATATATGATAGACCCACGCCGAGTATTATCCTGAATGGGGAAAAACTGAAAGCCTTTCCTCTAAGATCTGGAACATGACAAGGATGCCCACTTTTACCACTGTTATTCAACATAGTACTAGAAGTCCTAGCTAGAGCAGTCACACAAAAGAAAGAAATAAAGAGCAACCAACTTGGAAAGCAAGAAGTCAACTTAAGTTTGTTTGCAGATGGTATGAGCGTATATTTGAAAAAACCTAAAGACTCCAACAAAAATAGTATTGAACTGATTAACAAATTCAGTAAAGTTCCAGGATACAAAATCAACATACAAATATCAGCAGCATTTCTATATGCCAACAGTGAACAATCTGAAAAAGAAATCAAGAAAGTAACCCCATTTACAACAACTGCAAATAAAATAAAAGATCTAGGAATTAACTTAACCAAACAAGTGAAAGATCTCTATGGTGAACACTATGAAACACCGATGGAAAAACTTGAAGAAGACACAGAAGAATGGAAAGATATTCCATGTTCATGGATTGGAAGAATAAATATAGTTAAAATGTCCATACTGCCCAAAGCAATCTACAGATTCAATACAACCCCTGTCAAAATATTAAGTTTGGTACAAAAGTAATTGTGGTTTTTGCCATTACTTTCAAAGACAAAAACTGCAATTACTTTTGCACCATTCTAATACCAATGACATTCTTCACAGAAATAGAAAAAACACTTCTAAAATTTATACTGAACCACAAAACACCCAGAATAGCCAAAGTTATTCTGAACGAAAAGAACAAAACTGGAACAAAACTGCTCATGGGGTATTACTCAAGAAATCACATTATCTGACTTCAAATTATACTACAGAGCTATAGTAATCAAAACAGCATGGTATTGGCATAAAAGCAGACACATAGACCAATGGAACAGAATAGAGAACCCAGAAACAAATCCATGCATCTACGGTGAACTCATTTTCAAAAAAGGTGCCAATAACATATATTGAGAAAAAGACAGTCTCTTCAATAAATGGTGCTGGGAAAACTAGATATCCATAGCAGCAGAAGGAAACCAGACCTCTATCTCTTGCCATATACAAAATCCAAATCAAAATAGATTAAATACTTAAATCTAAGACCTCAAACTATGAGACTACTGAAAGACAACATTGAGGAGATGCTCCAGGACATTGGAGTGGGCCAAGATTTCTTGAGTAATACCCCATAAGAATAGGCAACCAAAGCAGAAATGGACAAATGGGATCACATCAAGTTAAAAAGCTTCTGCACTCCAAAGGAAAGAACAAAGTAAAGAGACAACCTAAAGAATAAGAGAAAATATTGGCAAACTACCCATTTGACAAGGATTAAGAATCAGAATATAAAAGGAGTTCTGCCAGACACAGTGGCTCATGCCTATAATCTCAGCACTTAGGGAGGCAGAGGCAGGAGGACAGCTTGAGCTCAGGAGTTTGAGACCTGCCTGGGCAACATAGCGAGATCCTATTCTTTGAAAAAGGAATTACAATGACTGAACTCATGGAGATAGGGAGTAAAAGGATGGTTATCAGAGGCTGAGTGTACTGAGGGTTAGTGGGGGAAGTGGGATGGTTAATGGGTATAAAAACACATAGAAAGAATGAATAAGAACTACTATTTGATAGCACAACCAGGGTGACTATAGTCAATAATAATTTAATTATACATTTCAAAATAACTAAGAGTATAAATGAATTGTTTTTAACACAAAGGATAAATACTTAACTTGATGGATGCCCTATTTACCCTGACGTGATTATTATGCATTGCATGCCTGTATCAAAATATCTCATGTACCACATAAATATATACACCTACCATGTACCCACAAAAAATAAAAATTAAAAAAATTTTGAAATGCAATAATAATACCTGCCCTGCCTATTTCATATGGTTATTATAAGAATGAAATGGGTCCAGGCACGGTGGCTCATGCCCATAATCCCAGCACTTTGGGAGGCCAAGGCAGAAAGATCCCTTGAGGCCAGGAGTTCGAGACCAGCCTGGGCAACATAGTAAAAAATACCTCATCTCTACAAAAATAAAAATTAAAAAATTAGCCAGGTGTGGTGGTGCATACCTATAGTCCCAGCTACTTGGGAAGCTGAGGCAGAAGGATTACTTGAGCCCAGGAAGTGAAGGCTACAGTGAGCCAAGATCATACCACCGCACTCCAGGCTGGGCAGTAGAGTGAGATTCTGTCTCAAAAAAAAAAAAGTTAAAACAAGCTACATGCAAACATAAACTACATTATTATAATATTATCAACAATATGTTAAATTCTTTCTGTTGATTATATTAGTTAATACTTAAATAAGCCTATGTGGTAGAAGCAGACCTAAGGTATAGAATGCATAAGCAATTCTATAAAATAAAAAAAAGGTCCTACAGCTAGTAAGTGGTGCAGCCAGGATTTACTAACCTGTATTCTTAACCTCTAGATTATATAGACTAAGAAAAATGCTGATCTTCCATTCAAAACAAAAATTTCCGTATTTTATATTGTGGTAAGATTGATAGTATGGTATTAAGATTCAACAGCATTTAACACAACAACATCTACTAAAGAGTGAAAAGAAAAATGTCTCCTTTTATGACAATCTCTTTTCTCCTCTGAGAATCATTTCTTTTCTGTTTCATTAAAAAAAGGAAAAGGTACCACCACAGGAAATGTTTCATCCCATAAAGCTCCAGCTAGTCCAAAGTCTCCTTGGCCAGCTGCCCCAGCTGTGCAATTGGAAGACATTAGACTTTAGGGAATTCACAGTTCTCCTGTTCACCTAACATTAAATGGTTCCAACATTTCATTCACTCAGAGATTGCTCTCCAACCTACAGTAGCTTTTTCCACCTCTGGACATCCTTTGTCAGGTCTCTATTGTCTCATTGTAGAGTCAGCAAATAGTCAACAGCCTTCTCAGGTATGTCATTTTTAAACACAACTGACGTTGGCAACTCAGCCCAAGGTCTCACCTTAGAGACAGAAGCTGTCATAGGAAGAGGTCCAGCCCTGTGGCATGAGTAAGGCGCTAGAATCTCTTAGCCTCTGATTCCTCATTGGTTAGGCAGGATTCATCATCTCATCTTTGTCTGCTTTCCTGGGTTGATGTGCAGAAACCATAAGACAGTGCTTGGGAAAGTGCTGTGAAAACTACAGGACCCTGTTCATGGTAAGAAACAACAATTGGGACCCATCTAGTGTGTGGTGTGAAAACAACACTGTCTGGGACTCAGGAGTCTTTGTTTCACACAAAAATCTAGGAATGAGGCCAGGTACAGTGGCTCACACCTGTAATGCTAGCACTTTGGGAGGCCAAGGTAGGAGGATTCCTTGAGCCCAAGAGTTCAAGACCAACCCAGGCAACAAACTGAGACCCTGTCTCTACAAAAAATTTAAAAATTAGCTGGACATGGTGGCATACGCCTATACTCCCAGCTACCAGAAGGACTGAGGTAGGAGGGTTGCTTAAGCCTGAAAGGTAGAGGCTGCAGTGAGCTGTGATCATGCCACTGCGCTCAAGCCTAGATGACAGAGCAAGACCCTGTCTCAAAAAAAAAAAAAAATCTAAGAATATGTGCTTCTCTCATTTTGTTGTGTGGCATCATTTAAGATCTCATTCCCTCTTGGTTTTCCCTCACACTATCCTCCTTCCCTCATCAGACACTTTCACTGCCAAAGCCAGGGCACCAGGCGTTTGAACTTGCCTTCCCACACTTCATTCTCCTTCATGGATTCTCTGCCAGGACTCCCACCTAACTCTTCTCCTCTTTCACAGTAGTAGATGTATCTATGATTGAGGCCATAGAATGGGGCATTTATTTTCCATACCAGGTCTTCCTGACTCTCGCCCCTGCCTCCTCAAGAAGCTTCAGATCTCTCCCTCCATCCTCCCTCAGTCATTCCGAGGGCATTCATTGGATGCCTCCAATGTGCCTGACCCTGTGCTAGGAACAAGGAAACAAAGTTGAGCAAGACACAAACTCCTCAAAGAACTTATAGTCTAGTGGGAGGGACAGATGACTAACTCGACAAGTAAGTAGATTGATAATGACTGATGATCAACGCTATGATGGAGGGAACACCTTGGAGGAGCACCTAACCCAGTCTGGGGCACTGGCGAGGGAAGGTATTGCACAGGAGGAGTCAGGTGGGTTGACTCTTAAGGAGTAGGTAGGAGTTGGCTAGAGGAAGGAGGAGGAAAGGGGTTTCCCAGGCTGAGGGAACAGCATGCACACAGAAGCATGAGTGAGCATGGCCCTTGGAAAAAGATGCACAAGTAATGGCTGAGTATAGGCTGCATTTGAGAGAGTTCTGGAAAATAAGATATAGAGATTTAGGCAGAAATAAATCAAATTATGAAGGGTGTCATTTGCTAAGCAGAGAAGCCATGGGGAACCACTGAAGTAGGGGAGTGGTAAAGAGCAGATTTGTGGGTTTTGTTTGTTTGATATTAGCTTTGTTTTTAGAGACAGGGTCATTCTCTGTTGCCCAGGCTGGAGCGCAGTGGCACAATCATAGCTCACTGCAGCCTCAAAGTCCTGGGCTCAAACGATTCTCCTGATTCTGCCTCCCAAGTAGCTGTGACTACAGTTTGTGAGCCACTATACCTGGCTAATTTTTAAAATGTTTTGTAGAGACAGGGTCTTGCTTTGTTGCCCAGGCTGGCCTCAAACTCCTAGCCTCAAGCCATCCTTCCTGCCTTGGCCTCCAAAAGGACTGGGATTACAGGCAGATTTGTGTTTTAGAAGGTCACAATGGCAGTTTTCAGAAGGGCAGATTGAAAAAGTCCTGACTAGAGGCATGAAGACCAGTTAGGAGAGGCAAGAAATGAAGAGAATCTCACTTAAGTCAGCAACCTTGAGAATAAAGAGAAAGGTGGACTGAAAAATATAGAATAGGCCGGGCGCAGTGGCTCATGCCTGTAATCCCAGCGCTTTGGGAGGCCAAGGCGGGTGAATCACTTGAGGCCAGGAGTTTGAGATCAGCCTGGCCAACATGGCGAAACCCCATCTCTACTAAAAATACAAAAATTAGCCGGATGTGGTGGTGCATGCCTGTAATCCCAGCTGCTCAGGGGGCCGAGGCAAGACAATCTCTTGAACCTGGGAGGCAGAGGTGTCAATGACCCGAGATCGCACCACTTCTTCTCCAACCTGGGTGACAGAGCAAGACTCCGTCTCAAAAAAATAAAAAAAAATACAGAACAGAGAGACGCGCTAGGACTTCCTGACTAATTACTCATGGCATGGGGTGTAATTGGAGGGGGGCAGTGAGAGGAAGGGGCCTTGGGAGGGTGAACCTTAGCTTTCTGGCTTTGATGTCGGGGTGAATGGAGGGGCCATCACATGCAGAGCCTGGCATGAAAAATGAGATTGTTTTTGCACACATCGGTAGTGGGGATTAGGTCAAGTGAAAGCAGTCAAACACAAAGACCATACACCACGGGATTCCATTTTTCTAAAGTTCTAGAAAAGGCAAAACATCATAGCGACAGAAAGCAGACGTCAGTGCATGTCAGGGACTAGGTTAGGGGTGGGGGAGGGGACCAACTGCAAAGGAGTAGGAGGAAGCTTTTTGAGGTGCGAGAACACTGAAAGCCAAGGCCAAGATGTGAAAAAGAAATTTTACAGAGTGAGAGACAGTGCATTTTTCTGAGACCAATATCTTGATTGAGGTGGCAGTTACGTGACTATATATTATACAGTCACCAAAATTTGTGAAACTATACACCTAAAATGAATGAATTTTATTGTATATAAATACCTCAATAAAGCTGCTTTCTAAAACAATGTCCTTCAGGACACCCAAGTAGAGATGGCAATGCACAAAGGCCTGAATATAAGATGTGGATTTGGAACCAATGGGTGAGTAGATTGTGCAGAGTTGAAGAACAGAGACCAAGGACAGCAGCATAGGAAATGATGACATTTAAGGGGAAAGAATATGGGGGAACCAGAGAACTAGCAAATATATCAGGAGAAAATAGTGAACAAAAGTTCAGGGAGAATTTTTAAAACAGGAGAGTAATCAACAGTTGATGCCCCTAGAGAGCTCCAGAAAGATAAAAGCTAAACTGCAGCAGCCATTGGCTTTGTGGAGCTGGAGGACTTTGGTGGAGTAAAGTCAGAAATTTCCCTCTTCCTCGTGCTGCTGTTAGAATAACTAGGTCACCCCGAGGCAACACTTTTAAAACATTTTTTTAGCAGCAAAATCTTGGGGAGAGTGGTGGAAGGGGACTTGACATAACCAGTCCCAAATGTGCTGATTCTAAAAATTTGCTGACTTTTAGTCCTGAAATTCATCTTATGAACATTTTGGCCATAGATACATACCTTTCTGGTCATATGTTGGTTAGGCAAAAATTAAAATAAATTAGGATGGCACAAGCACCTTCCACCTGAAAGCAAAGGCCTGAATGAATGCTGTCTGATGACTCCAAGTGTTGCTGCCAAGAATTTTAAGAATGTAGGGAGGCCAGGTGCGGTGGCTCATGCCTGTAATCCCAGCACTTTGGGAGGCTGAGCCGGGCGGATCACCTGAGGTCAGAGTTCGAGACCAGCTGGCTAACATGGTAAAACCCCATCTGTACTAAAAATACAAAAATTAGCCGGGCATGGCGGCAGGCACCTGTAATCCCAGCTACTAGGGAGGCTGAGGTAGGAGAATCACTTGAACCCGCGAGGTGGAGGTTGCAGTGAGCCAAGATCGCACCACTGCACTTCAACCTGGGTTACACCGCGAGACTCTTTCTCAAAAAAACAAAAACAAAAAAAGAAGGCAGGGGACACATACTGGAAATTGAGACTGTCCACGCTCACTGCCGAGAAGCAAGGCTGAGGAAAGGAAATCTACAGAGCTGGAGGTACCACACAATTTTGAGTCCAAGAGCGACACCCAGTGGTGATTGAGATCACTCCAGGCTCTCCACAACCGTTTTGTATTCAGGGCACTGAAGAGGGATGGACTCCTTGGTATCACACAGCCAGGGCAGCGTTTGGGCTTCCCAGGTCAGGAGGGCAAGCTAGGCTGCAGAATGGAGTAAGGTGACCATGGGAGAAATAGCCAAACCCTGTGAAACAGAACTGGCTCGCTCTTCCCATGATGAGACCTGAAAAAAGAGAGAGGTTGACTGTCTCTAAAGTACTTTCATATTTATTACCTCAGTTGATGCTCAAGACAACCTCATATGGCCAGTAGCACAAGTCCTCAAAGTCCCATTTTATGAAAAGAAGACTAAGATACAGAGAGGTTAACGTATGTCTCTTTTTCATTATTTTATTTTTGAGACAGGGTCTCACTCTGTTGCCCAGGCTAGAGTGCAGTGGTGCAATCACAGTCCACTGCAGCTGCCGTCTCCTGGGCTCAATCAATCCTCCAGCCTCAGCCTCCCAAGTAGCTGGGACTACAAGCGTATGCCACCATGCCCAACTAATTATTTTAGTCTTTTTGTAGAGATGGGCCCAGGCTGGTCTTGAAGCCCTGGACTCAAGGGATCCTCCTGTCTTGGCCTCCCAAAGTGCTGGGATTATAGGCACGACTGCACCTGGCCTTAAGATATTTATTAACAAATCCAGGTCTCAGGATGTCTTAGATATGGGGGTGGGTATCTAGAGTCCCAGATCGGGAGCCCCAAATATAAAATAAGACCCAGCCTCCAGGCTGGCCACGGCAGCTCAGGGAGTACTCACACCTGGAACAGACCACCTCTGCTAAGATGGCAGTGCAAAAGCCTTTCTACACAAATCTCCTTTCCAAAAATAATGGAAAACAGAGAAGAAAATCCACCTTCAGGGAAACTACGAAACAACCAAAACCCTGAAGCCCAGTTGATGGGGAGTAACTGCCATTTGGGCCAAGTCGACAGAGCAGGCAGGGATTAGCCAAGTCCCTCTCTAGCCCTTGGGTGGTGCATATTTCTGCAGAAGTCAGCACACAGGCCAACCGGCAACCGTGAGCTTGGCAGTGAAGGAGAAGCATCTCAGAACTCACTCACGCCCACTGAGGCAGGGGAGGTGGGAAGTAGGCCGAAGGAGAAAACTTGACAAAAAACTAGATGTTGGTGACACCAGGTAGCAAACCAGCAAAGAGCTCTGCCACTTCTGATCAAAGACAGGGGGAAAGAAGTAAATGCTAAAACACTATCCAAAAAACCTGTGACGATACAGGATTTTATGCTGAGTAAGCAGACTTGCTGCTCACTCCAAAAATAGGAATGCGGAAAGTGGAAAGCCTGAAGCAGAGATATACCCTCTGCAGAAGACAGAGCAGAGCTTGGGGAAAAGTATTTTGAGGACTGTACTTCTGGCAAAAAGGTGGCCAGATATTGCCAGGGTGGGTGGTGAGGGAGAGGAACTTGTGCTATAAATATCTAAAAGTACAAGATAGACAACCTTTTTTTTTTTAATGCATAGCTTGGCTCAGAAGAAAGTAAGAGAAATCCACAAGTTCTGAAAGTGAAGAGGGAAACCGAGAGACAGACAGCCCTCCCTGCGGGTGTCTCAGTCTTGGACTGACTTGTCCTGTTGACTTACTTTTTCTTCTGGTAGTCATTACAAGTTTTCTTTTAAACTACATTGCATAAAATGTTTGTTGGCACCAGTTTGCTAACATATGCTAAGATCAACAGCTTGCCAGACCTGACCACAAGCTGCGGAGGAGGGCTGATAGCTCATACTAGCCCTCCGATGTGTGCCTACCGTGTGCTAAGCTCCGTGCACAGACATATTTGGTGCTCATCACAATCCCACGGGGAGTGGGGAAGGATTATCTGTACTTTACAGGTGAGGAAATTGGGGCTCCTGGAGGCCAGGCCACTTGCTCAAGGCCACTTAGTGGACTGGCAGTGCCAGGCAGCCAGCACTGGGTGCTCCAGAGCCCACAAATGCTCCTGTTTGCCAGCCCCAGTAAGCATTTCCCTGGCATTTCTAAAACACAGGCACCTCGGTTCAGAGGGAGGGGATAATCTGGTGACATGAAAATGAAGAAGGACCTAAAAGGAGACCAATGAGAGAACCTCAGGTTACCCTACTTTAACATCTAGGGTCTTCTGCCCAGAGCCTGGAAGCCCGACGTTAACAGTCTCATGAAAGATCCAAGGCACTGAGAGACCCAAGGTGGAGGATGGGACGTGAGACCTCTACCTGAATCCACGATCTCTGAGGAGTTACGCCCTGAAGAGTGGTGACTGTGAGGAAGTGTCAATGTAGAGGCTGACTGGGAAACTTGTCTGTCTCAGGCTACAGGTTGTGGTTAAAAAAATTAATAAATAAATAAAGCCAGGCGTGGTGCTCACACCTGTAATCCCAGTAGTTTGGGAGGCAGAGGAGGGCAGATTGCTCGAGCCCAGGAGTTCGAGGCCAGCCTGGGCAACATGGTGAGACACCCATCTCTACAAAAATGGGAGGAATGCTTGAGCCCAGGAGGACAAAGCTTCAGTAAGCTGTGTTTGCACCACTGCACTCCAGCCTGGGCATCAGAGTGAGACCCTCTCTCAAAAAAAAAAAAAAAGCTTCCTGGAAATTTATAAGCACAAGCCTTCCTTCCCATAGAAGGGGTTTGAAAATATACTGCTTCTACATAAGGAACCCCAAAGAAAAATTAATCTCAAGTGCTTCTCACTCAGAATCACCCTGGGTACCTGGAAGATGCAAATGTGAAATTGCTGCGAATTCTCAGGATTCCCAGTCAGCAAAATATCATCAAATCAAAAACTGCCAAAACCACGAGGAAACAAACACCACGAAAAGATGAACAAGAAAGCAAAGAGTAACATCCCAAATGACTCAGGTATTAAAATGATCAGATACAGAAGATAACTAAGTAAAAATAGAAGAGGCCATATGTCCACAAAAAGACCTGTCCAATAATGTCTATAGCAACTTTATTTATAATGGCGAAAACCTAGAAATAGCCCAAATGTTCATCCATAGGAGAATGGATAAACAAAGTGTGGCATACTCATTCAGTGAAATACTACTCAGTGATAGGAAATAAATTATAGGAATAACTACAATGTGGACGGATCTCAAAAACGCTATGTTGAGCAGAAGACGGTAGATACAAAAGCCACACACATACCGTATGATTCTATTTATATAAAGTTCAAAAGCAAACAAAACAGGCCAGGCATGGTGGCTCATGCCTGTAATCCCAGCACTTTGGGAGGCTGAGGTGGGGGATTACTTGACGTCAGGAGTTCAAGACCAGCCTGGACAACATGGAGAAACCCCATCTCTACTAAAAATACAAAAATTAGCCAGGTGTGGTGGCGTGCTCCTGTAATCCCAGCTATGCAGGAGGCTGAGGCAGGAGAATCACTTGAACCCGGGAGGTGGAGGTTGTAGTGAGCCGAGATCGCGCCACTGCACTCCAGCCTGGGCAACAAAACGAGACTCCATCTCAAAACAAACAAACAAACAAACAAACAAACAAAAACTGACAAAATTAATCTATGGGTAACAAAAACCAGAACATTTAAGGGAGATGAGGAAAATTAATTGAAAAGATATATGGGGAAGTTGTTGGGATTACAGCACTATTCTATACATTGACTAGATAGTGGTTTCATAGGTGTATATGATTGTCAAAATTCATCACACTGTGCCATTAAGATTTGTGCATTTTAGGTTATAATAATTTTATCTTGATAAACCATGTGCACACATTTAATGAAATAGGAAATGGAAATTATGTTCCAACCTATAAAAAGGGATTAAGAATATTTTGAAATGATCTGAAAAGAAATTCTAGAAATAAAAACATAATCATTGTTTTCAAAAGCTGCATAGGTTCTGCTTCAAACTATGGCCTGCACAAGACCAAGTTTCGATTAAGAACATCTCTTTTTAAAAAAAGGAGAACATATTTCTTGTTTTAAAAGATGTTTTCGAACATCAGAAAGCTACCAAAACAGTGCAACATTGAACCTGGACCTCAAAGAGAAGGGAAGTATAGAGATGTGAGCGAAACTCTTAAATGCTTTTTCCTCCCAAGGTGTTGCTAAAAGCGGCCAGCTGAGAATATGGGAAGTTCGGAAGAAAATGGCAACAAAGATGCTGAGAGGCTAAGAAAGCTTTTGGTAGTATTAAGGGCTAGAGAGAGACAAACTGGAGCACAGGACCCTGTTAGGTATCCCCAGGTCTTCCAGTAGGAGCTAGCAGGGAGTGACAGGGACAGCCCTTACAGAGAGAGATCAAAACCAGTGTCAAACCAACTGCATCTCAAAATGGATTAAATCTTTGCTAGCACAGCCAAGTGGCTGAGGCAAAAGTGGATGGTGTTTGGAGGAAGGTATCATCCAGTGCCCCAAATTATCTTTCCAATTCTTCAAGCACAATGTCTCTTGTTGAATCAAAAACCAGGCAAGGGCTCCAGAAGACACCCAAGGCAAAGAGAAGCACAGTTTTCCCCACACCAATGCCTACCCTGGCTCTCCCAGCACCACCCATGCCAAGAGGGTTCCAACTGCCTGCAAGGGACTCTATCATAAATGGAAACATAAAGGGAAACTTACAATTTAAACGTGGAAAAGGGGACATGAAGGATATCAGGCATCCCTCCTACATGCAGATCCAAGAAGAGAAAAATGTGGCAAAAGACCCCTCATTTAGTTTTGTGACAATATCTACATAAAATCCAGATGTCAGGATCAGCCTCCTGGACTGAGAGAGTGACACTCCAGGAGAGAAAAGAACTCCATTAAAAAGAGACTTTTGGGGCTGGGTGCAGTGGCCTCGTGCCTGTAATCCCAGCACTTTGGGAGGCCAGGACGGGTGGATCACCTGAGGTCAGGAGTTCAAGACCAGCCTGGCCAACACAGTGAAACCTGTCTCTACTAAAAATACAAAAATTAGCCAGGCGTGGTGGTGGGTGCGACCCAGCTACTTGGGAGGCTGAGGTAGGAGAATCACTTGAACCCGGGAGGTGGAGGTTGCAGTGAGCCGAGATCGCGCCATTGCACTCCAGCCTGGGCGACAGAGCAAGACTCTGTCTCCAAAAAAACAAAACAAAAGAAAGGCTTTTTTAATGGTGAAAATATTTAAAATTTACTCTTTTAGCAACTTTGAAATACGCAATGCAGTTATTTATTATAGTCACCATTCTGTGCAATAGATCACTAGAGCTTATTACTCCTGTCTGACACTTTGTACCCTGTAATCAACATCTCCCCTTTCTGATCCATCCCCTTCCGTCAGCCCCAGTAACCACCATTCTACTCTCTACTTCTATGACTGCAACTTTTTCAGATTGCACATATAAGTAAAATTCTGTGGTATATTGGTCTTTCTGTGCCTGGCTTACTTCACCTAGGCTAATGTTCTCCAGATTCATCAAAACATCACAATGCACCCCATAAATGTATACAATTATCGATTATCAATTAAAAATAAAAAAGGAATATTTTTTAAAGTAAACGGAAAGAGACCTGCTTAAAAAACCATGATTGTTTCCCAGGGATGATTTTCCATTCTCAACACAATAATGTAAATTTAACTACCATTATTTCACTCAATGGCTATCCTTTAGACGCATTGTGTCTGCCCATCTTGGAAGAAGATAAGGATTGGATTCCAGCAATCACAACTAAAGAAATCTTATTAGGAATACAGAAATTTCTAAATGAACCAAATATATAAAATCAAATTGTGTAGAAGATTTGGGAAACTACTGCCAAAACAGAGTACGAAAAAAAATTTTGAGTACTAGCCAAGAATTTTGATCCCTTCTACATGCGGATCAATGACATCTTAAAAAGGAATTGATACCTTGGGTAAGAGCTTGCCCAGAAAATGTCTGCAATGTCTCATTTTACATCTACAAATGCTATTAACCCAGTGGAAGGCTTGCATTCATGCCATGCCTTCATTTTTGTGATGTGTACACAGTTCTAAATTTGCTGAATTGCCCCCTTCATTTTCTCATGCATAGCTTCTTCCTTGACTCATTTCTAATTTGGGTTGTTATGTAAAACTTGTTTTTATTTAATATTATTGTCAGCATTTCAACTGCTGTAAAGCCATGTATTTTAATACTATAAATACCCTACTACTTGGTTTCCTTTGCTCTCTGATTATTCCAGTTGTTAGGCTAAGTCTTCTGTGTTTTGAGATGCTGTGGCTGAGACTGTACATCACACTTCTGACCTAGCAGCTGGCTTCTTGTTAGGCTCTGCCAATAGGAGGCACTAAAGGCAGAAAGCAAGGATGGAGAGATTTTCTCCTGTTGGCTTCCTGTCTGCTTCCTGTTCCTGTGAACATCACCTCAGCAATGCTTCTCCTTGGCAGAAGTTCTTTCCCATAGCATCAGCTGAATTCAGTGCATAGTTTTACATTTTTTTTTTTTTTGAGACAGTCCCGTTCTGTTACCCAGGCTGAAGTGCAGTGGCGCAATCTCGGCTCACTGCAACATCTGCCTCCCAGGTTCAAGCAATTCTCCTGCCTCAGCCTCCTGAGTAGCTGGGACTACAGGCGCATGCCACCACACCTGGCCAATTTTTGTATTTTTAGTAGAGACAGGGTCTTACCATATTGACCAGGCTGGTCTTGAACTCTCGACCTTGTGATCCGCCTGCCTCGGCCTCCCAAAGTGCTGGGATTACAAGGAGGAGCCACCGTGCCCGGCCTTCAGTGTGTAGTTTTTCAGCACTAGCAGAACAATCCTTCATTGCATACCCTCAGAGAGACCAGCACCCACCAGCTGAGCCTCTCCTCAGAGGTCTGGATTCCAAATCCAAAAGGCCCTACCTCTGAGCTCAGAGATATCACCACCAAATGGGAGGTAACCCCTTCCCCAAAATCTAAATTTCAGCTTCATGCATCCCCTCCTCCAAGCTTGCAAAGTTTTAGTAATTCCAATCTCTTCCTTTTGCTCTCCCAGCTTTAGGGAGAGCACTTGCTGCTTTTGCTACCTTTCTAACACTTGCTACCTTTCTAACACTTAGGATTTTGTTTGTTTGTTTGTTTGTTGTTTTCTGAAACCTAGTTAACAAATTTATGCCTCATTAACAATTCTTCATATTAAATTATCTCCATTAAAATAACTGGCATATCTCTGTAGCCATTAAAAAAGGATGAGTTCATGTCCTTTGTAGGGACATGGATGAAGCTGGAAACCATCATTCTGAGCAAACTATTACAAGGACAGAAAACTAAACACCGCATGTTCTCACTCATAGGTGGGAATTGAACCAGGGCCTCTCGTGGGGTGAGGAGAGGGGAGGGATAGCATTAGGAGATATACCTAATGTAAATGACCAGTAAACGGGTGCAGCACACCAACATGGCACATGTATACATATGTAACAAACCTGCACGCTGTGCACATGTACCCTAGAACTTAAAGTATAATAATAATAAATAAATAAATAAATAAATAACTGGCATACCTCTCCAATCAATTAGATCTTCTTTGAAGTTGCCACAGTTTTGTAGCCTACAGTGGTGGTCCCCAACCCCCTAAAGACCAGTACTGGTCCATGGCCTGCTAGGAACCGAGCTGCACAGCAGAAGACGAGCAAGCATTACTGTCTGAGCTCTGCCTCCTGTCAGATCAACGGCAGCATTAGATTCTCACAGAAGCGAGAACCCTGTTGGAAACTGTGCATGCAAGGGATCTAGGTTGTGTGCTCCTTATGAGAATCTAATACCTAACGATCTGAGGTGAAACAGTTTCATCCCAAAAAACCAACCCCCACCCCCAATCCCATGCCCCAGTCCCTGGAAAAATTGTCTTCCACAAAACCAGTCCCTGGTGCTCAAAAGGTTGGGGACTGCTAGAGTACGGCATACAACTCTTGCACATATTTTGATAGATTTAAATTGAATTATTTCATGTATTGGTGCTATTTTAAATGATACTTCAAAAATGAGTTAAAGAATTGGAGGACTCATAATTGCTAATATGTCAATCTCCCCAAATCGATCCATTAATTCAATACAATGAAAATCAAACTCTTCAGCCAGCCATGGTGATGGGTCACGCCTGTAATCCCAGCACGTTGGGAGGCCGAGGCAGGCAGATCTCTGGTGCTCAGGAGTTCGAGACCAGCCTGAGAAACATGGTAAAATCCCGTCTCTATTATTAATAAAAATACAAAAATTAGCCAGGCGTGGTGGTGTGCGCCTGTAGTCCCCGTTACTCAGGAGGCTGAGGTGGGAGGACCACGTGAGCCCAGGAGGTCAAGGCTGCAGTGAGCTGTGATCACACCACTGCACTCCAGCCTGGCTGACAGAGCAAGACCCTGTCTCAAAAACAAAAGCAAAAACAAAATGAAACTCTTCATAGGCTTTTAAAAATAGAAATCGATAGGCTTATTCTAACACTTATATAGAAAGGCAAGAGAATCAAATTAGCCAAAACAACTTAGGAACACTACCTGATCTCAAAGCTTAATATAAAGCTATAGTAATCAAGACAGTGGGGTATTAGTGAAAAGATAGACATAGATCAGTGAAACAGAATAGGGAGACACAATAGACTCTCCTGTATATGATGGAATGATTTCCAACAAAGATGTCAAGGCAATCCAATAGGGAAAAGGTAGCCATTTCAACAAATGGTGCTGGAGCAACTGGACCTCCATGTACAAAAATAGAAAAAATTTGACCCATGTCTAACACGATCTACATTTTCAAATAAATAAATACTAAGAGTGCTTATCATCAACTATCTTCACTAAAGAAACTGCTAAAGATACTCCAGAAGAAGAAACTGTTTGTGTTACCAAAAGAAAAAGTGAGAAAAGAAGCTGACAAATGTGGGTAAATCTTCACAAATTATCTGTGTAAAGCAATAGTAAAAATATCTAATTTGCAGTGTTTAAAATGACAAAAAATTCTACATAAAACATCTATCATGGGAACAGGCAGTTGGAATTAAGGACAAATATCTTTGTATTTTTCAGAAGAATGATAAAAATGTTTAATACTTTTAAATTATAAGTTATATATGTATATTAAAATATAAAGAGCAACTGTTAAAAATTAAACAACTAAAAATAAAAAACAAAATGTACAATTTCTAAAACAGTATAGACAAATAGAACTAAACAAAAAGTAAATTAATCCTAAAATAGGTTAAAAAAAAGGAGAGGAGAGGCCGGGCGCGGTGGCTCACGTCTGTAATCCCAGCACTTTGGGAGGCCAAGGCGGGCGGATCACCAGGTCAGGAGATCGAGACCATCCTGGCTAACACGGTGAAACCCTGTCTCTACTAAAAATACAAAAAAACTAGTCAGGCATGGTGGTGGGCGCCTGTAGTCCCAGCTACTTGGGAGGCTGAGGCAGGAGAATGGCGTGAACCCAGGAGGCAGAGGTTGCAGTGAGCCAAGATTGCGCCACTGCACTCCAGCCTGAGCAACAAAGTGAGACTCCGTCTCAAAAAAAAAAAAAAAAAGGAGAGGAGATAGCATTGAAAATATGGGCAAGTAAAAAAGCCCAAAATGATACATGAATATAATATATATCATAGTGTCATAAAGAAGAAAAATTGATTCCACTCAGGAGTTAAAAGAAAGAGATTGTCATTTTGGATGACAAACAAAATCCAACAGTATGCTTTTGTTTGTTTGTTTGTTTGTTTGTTTGTTTAGAGATGGGGTCTTACTACGTTGACCGAGCTGGTCTCAAACTCCTGGCTTCAAGCGATCCTCCCATCTCAGCCTCCCAAGTGCTGGGATTACAGGTGTGAGCCACTGCACCCACCCTGTATGCTATTTTTAAGACACACCTAAAATATAAGAACACAGACAATTTGAAAGTAAAAGATTGGGAACAGATAAGCTATGCATATATTAATGATAGAACTGATACGTAGCTCTAGGTTAACATCAGTGAAAATACAATCTAACAGATAAAAAGCATTATCAGAGATTTTTTAAAAGGTAACTTATCCAGTGATAAAATTTCCAATTATCAGAAAAACAGAACAATTCTGCATTTGTATGTAACTAATAACCTTTCTTTAAAATATATCAAACAAAAATTGACTGAATTAATAAACTCTGCATCATAGTGAGATATCTTAACGCATGTTTCTCAGTTACTGAAAAAGATGGAACAGCCAAATATAAGTAAAGTTATAGAAAATTTGAACAATACATTAATAAGCTTAATCGAATGGACATTTATAAAAATGCTTTCCCCAACAATTAGAAAATAGACATTCTTTTCAATCTCATGTGGAACTATTACAAAAATTGACCACATATTATGGAGGCCATAAAGCCAGTCTCTATAAATTTCAAAGAATATCTATGAAATAGTTCACATTTTCTGATTACAAGGCAATTAATTCAAAACTCAAAATGCAAATAAAAAACACTTTAAAATGTACATTACCAGAGTATCTAATATCTCCAATGGAGCATGAGCTCAGAGGCAAAAATAACCAGACAAGTGAGAGTTACAAGTATCTCAAAAGAAAGTCAACAAACTGAAGAAATATATACTCATCTGAAACACAAATGTTGGAACACACGAGCTAAGGGTTTTTTTAAAAACTAAGCATAAAAGTAATAAGACATGTAAGGATGTTAGTAATGCAAAACAGTAATTGAAAATAAGAAGGAACACTGTAGAAGTATTAGATTTGATTATCACAACAGTTGAAATAAAAATTAAAATAGATGGGTTAAATAGAAGAATAGATTGAGCTGAAAAATGAACCAGCGAATTTAAAAAGTAGATCGAGATAAAAGCAGACAAAAATAAAGGAGATAGAAGTTGTGTGGGGTTTCTTTTCCCCTAGGCTGGAGTACAGTGGCGTGATCATAGCTCACCGCAACCTTGAACTCCTGGGCTCAAGTGATCCTTCCACCTCAGCCTCCCAAGTAGCTGGAACTACAGGCATGTGCTACAGGCATTAGTCACACCAGGCTAATTTTTTTTTTTTTTTTTGAGACAGTCTTGCTCTGTCACCCAGGCTGGAGTGCAGTGGTGTGATATCGGCTCACTGCAACCTCCGCCTCCAGGGTTCAAGTGATTCTCCTGCCTCAGCCTCCTGAGTTGCTGGGATTACAGGCATGTGCTACCATGCTCAGCTAATTTTTGAGAGATGGGGTTTCACCATGTTGGCCAGGCTGGTCTTGAACTCCTGACGTCAAGTGATCTGCCTGCCTCGGCTTCCCAAAGTGCTGGGATTACAGGCATGAGCCACTGTGCCCAGTCCTGGCTATTTTTTTTTATTTTTGTAGAGACAGGGTCTCACTATATTACCCAGGCTGGCCTGAAACTCCTGGGCTCAAGCAATCCACCCACTTCGGCCTCCCAAAGTGCTAGGATTACAGGCATAATGAAGACCTAAGAAGTGTTCAGGAAATGGAGAATTGCAGAAGCAATGCCTGGAGTGAAGGCAAGGAGGTAAGGTAGCATGCCAGAGATGGCCAAATTTAGGAGGCTGAAATGTAAATTGCAGAAGCAGGAAGGATGACCGAGCATGAGGGTGCAGGTACAGGAGGGTAGACGTGGCGGTGGGTGCTGTGGAAGTTCTCTGCTAGTCACTTTCATTGTCTCATAGAAATAGAAAGCAAGGTCTTTCAGTGTATGAGTGGAGGAGGTAGTGTTACAGGTTAGATCAGGGAGCTTAAAAAATATAGAAAACATTTGTAAAATATCACCTACAAAAGTGAGAATGAATGGATTATGGAAACAGGATGGGATTACTGAGCAGGAGTAACTGTTCCACTGAAGTTTGTAGTAATGAATTTACAGTGAGACCAACCAGCATCATTTTGTGTATTTTTCCTGCCACCTTTGGCTATGTGAACATAGGCACAAGAGACAGAGGAGTATATATCACTAAGGCTCAAGCTTCGCCCTGAGAATACTACAAAGCAAAAGAAGAGCAAAATATCTGAGTGTATGCAAGAGAGTGAGGACTATGAGAAGCATGAAGCGGGAGAATGATGGGAGGGACGGGAGAGGCAGGATCTGTGCACTTGGGGTTACTTGGGGGTTGAAGGGTTGTCTGAAGTTGGGGATTGCAGGAAACCTGCTGGCGAGTTGGGGTGTGGTGGCCAAAGAGCAGAATGCCTGGACACTGAAATTAAGGAAGATTTGCAGCATGGCCATAGAGTGAGTAGCTGAGGTTGGGTAGAGAACAAAAAGTAATGAAAGGAAATTGAAATAACATATTACTAAATAAGCCTTTGTTTAAGAATAGAGACTTCCATTTCTAGAAAATAGGATGTAATATAGGCTGGGTTTATCCTCCCACCTGAAACAATGAAAATCCAGATGGAACAAATGAAAATAATTATGTCATGATAGTGGACATCAGAAAATAAAGGCCAGTGATTGACCCCCGAGATGAGACCTATGATTGTCCCACCTTACTGCCTTGGGAGAATGTCCAGGCAGAAACCAAAAAGAGGGCATCCAGGCAGTGCACAGAGGATTTCTTGAGTTGAGGAGACAAAACTCAGAGAATTTGGGGAGAACAATGCAGCCAGCGTTTACAAGACAAACTACTGGAGAAGAGAGAGCTGTGTGGAGATAAAACTGTGGGAGACCTTCAAGGGTATCCCCCTTGAGTACTCAGCAGAGAACTGACCAGTGCATGCAGGGAGGAAACCACCCAAGGCTGGGGAGGGAATCACCTAGAAGGATTAGAACGAACAGTACCCAGCACTCACATAGGGCTGGGAATAGTGCCTGTTCCCTCCGGCCTGATTCCCAGTGCCCGTTCCCTCCAGAAAACCTCATAATTCACAGGCTAAAGCCTGTGAGGCAGAGTACTCAGGAGAACCTTGCCTCAGTAGTGAGGCATAACTAGTCCTGTATTCAGCATGGCTCTTATACCACCTACAAATCTCAGTTCCCGTCATAGAAGACATGACCTGCTTCTTCTCCAAAGTAAACAAACACCACCCTGTGAGAATAGAGCCTGAGGAGAAGCTGCTCTTGTTCACATTCTGCCCATTTAACACATTCATCCAGGCTCCAGGCATTTCCTACAGGAGAAAATCTCAGCTCCATCCTCTCAAAGAACAATGCAGAGACAATTACTGAATGCTGAGGAAAGATACTTCATTTGCAATCGGGCATCAGGCAGGGAAGTGGGGCTTTCAAGAATGCCTGTGATTCCAGGGCAAAGAGAGAACACTGTATTCTATTCGTAGCTCAAATGTATTATTATTAATTATTATTATTATTATTGAAATGGAGTCTCGGCTCACTGCATCCTCTGCCTCCCGGGTTCAAGCAATTCTCTCTGCCTCAGCCTCCTTAGTAGCTGGGATTACAGGCACCTGCCACCAAGTCCAGCTGATTTTTTTTGTATTTTTAGTGGAGATGGGGTTCTGCCACGTTGGCCAGGCTGGTCTCGAACTCCTGACCTCACGTGATGCGCCCACCTCAGCCTCCCAAAGTGCTGGGATTACAGGCGTGAGCCACCGCGCCCAGCCCGTAGCTCAAATTATTACACAGCAGTCAACAATTTTGATTCTATAATGCTCGGATCCTTTTGACAAAATGTAAATACCTCTGCTTATCTCAGGATGTATAGTGTTTAGGGTGATCCCGTAAGCTATGGCTTCTCTGTTAAAATGCAACGCTTTAAGAAATCTAAATCTTTCCTTCCTACAAGGTGTAGAGATATATGCCAAGTGAAACAGGACTAGACTGTGCTAATGGCAAAAAAAGGTAGGTCTAGTTTTTCAAAACCAAAGATCCATAGACAAGCAATAATTTAAAAGGGGAAAAAAAGCGTAGCAGGCACTGTCAATACCCTGCTCATTGGCCACTTAACCTCTATACACCACACACTGCAAACACTTGTACAAACACTGCAGACACTTTTGTTCCCAGACCAAAATGAGAGTCAGGCTACCATTTCTCATGGCCCAATAACAAGATGCAGATGAACTGGAGAGGAAAAGAGTTTTTTATTTCTGTAACCGGTTACAGGGAGAAGGCCTGGAAAATATCGCCAGACCAACTCAAATTACAAAGTTTTCCAGAGCTTATATACCCTCTAAGCTACATGTCTACGTGTCAGTGTGCACTCATCTAAAGACGTAAGTGATTAACTTCTTTTCATCTGTAACTAAGGTCTGAGTCCTGAAGACCTTCTCCTGGAGCCTCAGTAAGTTTATTTAATCTAAATGGGTCCAGGTGCTGGGGTGATTACCCTTATCTTGTCTCCTGCTAAATCATAAAGGTTTGGGGAGCTCCTTTAGACCCCGATAAACTTGTTTGTGGAGGCCTGGGGAGTTTCTTCAGACCCCCCAGTAAAACTTGTTTAATCCTAAACGGGTCCTGTTAAGAATTCCTTCATTATCTTGTCATGCTTCAAGGTCCAGGAAAGGCCTAGGCAAACTCTTGGTGGACTTTTGTGACATTCCAGCCTTTGTATAAGGGCACTGGCTCGATCAGCTTTTCATGTTTAACGGAGCTACTGAGTCAGTGCTGGGACAGCTGTAATGGAGGCCTGCGTTAGTGAGACCCGGCCTACCACACTTTGTCTATACATCAAAAATGACAAACACTTATGGCTCTCTGCTTGAGATTTTTCCCTGACCCTAGGAGCCTGCTCATCTCCCCAGTGAACATCAGAAACACCCGAAGGGAATGCCCCAGAAGTGCCCTCCAGCCAGGGACAGATGGGGGGGCCAGGGGAAAAATACCCCAACTTCCTCACCCCTTGATAGAAATAACTCTGTGGTGTGTCTACACTGTCTCCCAGAATCCCCCAGCAGGACAACTGCAATTCCCCTGTCTTCATAAATAAGCTCTATCTGGGCAGTGGGCAAGAAGAACCTATTGGGCTCCCACAGGAGCACTGGTCCCTGACCAACATTTTTAAACTAGCAAGTACCACCCAGATTTAAGAGATAGTCTGTGTTTCTTTTCTGACTCCTGCTCCCTCCTTTCCCCACGCTATTCTAAGCTCCAGTTGCCCACAGTAGCAGCTTGCTTGATAATTAATTCTGTATTATCTTCCTTCCCATTCCTGTTTCACCTCCTCACTCCTCTATGGGTACTTCCCGATCACCTCCCAAATAAAATACTTGCATTCAAATTCTTCTCTCAGAGTTTGCTGCAGGGGAGACACAAACTAAGTCAACAGGTATATCACAGAGGCATATGTGCATCGATATTCAAACCAGAAGGGCTTTCACAGACCATTTAGTCCACTTTCAGCATTTAGAGATAAGGAACTGAGGTCCAGGGAATGCCGAGTTAGTGGCAGAGTCAATGGCAACAATGAAAACTGACAGCATGGTAAGAAGCTGATGAAAATGTATAAGGAATGGCAGCAGAAGCGAAAGGCACAGGAGCCTGCTAAGGTTAAGGAGTTGGCTAAGGTCGACTATGTTTATGTTTGAGTTACATGTAAATATACAGGTAATTTTGTAATTATAATTTCAGTAAATGAATTAGTTATTTTCCTCTTGATGATTTCAATCAATCCATTACTGTACCAAACTACCAGCTTCAGAAAATCATCGCTCATACATAAAGAGAGGAACAACAAAGAGCAGCTGGTTTATTTGCAGGACCGTGGGGCATTGCAGAAAGGCTGTTCGAATGTGATGGAAGGGAATTCAGCAAAGGATCAGAAGGGACTCACTCGCATCCACTTCTCCCAGCCACGGTCCACTGCTCATCCCCCAGGCTGTGAGAGGACGTGGATCCATGGTGTTAACACACACTGCAGGAGGAGCCCCTTGCAACTGTCTCTGAACTAAGAATATTTCCACTATGAAACTCACAACAGATCCAAATGCTGTTAGAGTCTGCATGAAGTGCCAGAAGGAGTGAAACCACCTTTGCAAAAATCATGACAGTGACAAAAAATCTGACATAGGAAAATTATGATGGTGAAAGAAATCTGACCTAACTGACTCCATCTTGCTTCCAACCTCCAAGCTGTCCTTGTCCATTCCTGGGTGTAGGCTGAACTAACTTTGGGAGGGATTTAGTTTATAGTTTAACTTTCAAACAAAGATGTTAACGGCCCCTCCCCAAAACAAAATTCCTCCTTGCTTGGGGACCAGACTGCCTTTGTAAAACTAACAAATTAGCCACAAGATTAGAAATTATGGCTCAGGAGTCATTCAGCCAGAGGTCACAAGATTCCTAACCTCCCCAGTTGTTCCTATGGATAACACTACTATTGTAAAACCTAAGATTCATGTTTGGGGTATTTTTTAGACCCTACATTCTGATGGACCAGCTGGTATCACCTAGGCCAGTAAACTGGCTCATCTGGTCTTGTGCCCCCCACCCAGGAACTGACTCAGCTCCCTTTTATTTCATCTCCAACCCAACCAATCAGTATTCACCATTCCCTAGTCCCCTGCCTGCCAAACTGTCTTTAAAATAACCCTAGCCTCGGCCGGTCATGGTGGCTGACACCTGTAATCCCAGCACTTTGGGAGGCCGAGGCGGGCGGATCACCTGACGTTGGGAGTTCGAGATCAGCCTGGCCAACATGGAGAAGCCCCATCTCTACTAAAAATACAAAAAATTAGCCAGGCATGGTGATGCATGCCTGTAATTCCAGATACTTGGGAGGCTGAGGCAGGAGAATCGCTTGAACCCAGGAGGCAGAGGTTGCAGTGAGCCAAGATCGTGCCATTGCACTCCAGCCTGGGCAACAAGAGCGAAACTCCGTCTCAAAACAAACAAACAAACAAACAAAAAAACCCTAGCCTCTGAATTTTCAGGGAGGCTGATTTGAATAATAAAACTCCATTCTCCCATTTAGCCAGCTCTTCATGCATTAAACTCTTTCTCTACTGCAATGCCCCTGTCTTCATAAATCAGCTCTGTCTAGGCAGTGGGCAAGAAGAACCCACTGGGCAGTAACAGGAGCCCTGGTTCCCTGACCAATAAATCTACATTGAGTTCCCAGCTGGCCATACACTAGCAGGCAAGTCACCTAACCTCACTGAGCCATTGTTTTTCCATCTGGAAAATGCAATAATACTTGATCTGCCCACTTCACATAGTTGTAATGACAGCTACAAGTTCTAGGAGAACAGAATGTGTCCATCTCCTTCCTTATTTGAATCCCTGTGCCTTGCAGAGTCAGGCTCATAGTAAACTCAGAGCACGTGGATGGTTACCTGATAGTTCAAATGATGCATGCAAAAGAACATTCTTAAACTAGCAAGTAACACCCAGATATAAGAGATAGTCTGTGTTTCTCTTCTGACTCCTGCTCCTTCCACTCCCCCAACTATTCTTGCTCCACCAATGCCCCTGTAACCAACCCATCCTCCAACCTAAGAGTTTTCCCCAGGTCTCCCCAGCCAGTGTGATGTCCCCAAATATACAGTCAACTGACCATAGTCAAGGACAACTGTGGTTCCAAAATCCCCCAGCACAGTTAAAGTCTCCTAACCACCTAGATCACAGTACTCCCAACATTTTTAGGTTACCAGTATCTCCCAGGCCACCCCTCACACAGAAGCATTCCTCTACAGATCCCCAGGAATATCCCCAAAAAGCCTTCCCTAGTCAGACAAGCTTCCCTCAGGCTCTCACCCTTTCCAGCTTCTCCATTCAGCTCAGCCTAGCTTCTCAGGCCCCAGTCTTCCCACTTCACCCCAGTACTCACATCTCTGAAGACAGCCCCTACTTCACCCTCCCAGTGGACAGTGGAGAAAAAAGTGGAACCTGATAGGCAGGAGCCACACTATTCGCCCTTCACCTTCACCCTTAGCAGCCTCTAAAACGGATGCCCTGGGATAACCTAGAAGGAAACCAGGACGAATTCAACAGAACACTGCACTATTTTGCTAACACTAATCAGATGAATGTGACACAGGGAAAAAAATAAAACCAAAAGTAAAAGGCGGAACTGAGTTCGTAACCTGGTTTGCCACATTCACTGCTGACCAGCTGCATGATATGCTGCTCAACATCCCCAAGCATCCATTTTACCACCTATAAAGTGAAGATAACAGTACCTTTTGCACAGTGTCAGGAAGGCCAAAGGAAATCATGTAAGTACATAGCACAGCACCTGGTACTTTATACACCTCAGTAAATATCAGTTTCCCTCCTCCCCTGACTCAATGCGTCCACTTGCAGCCACACCTCCCAGACCCAGATGGAAGCCCTCACACGTGGGTCCTCCTTCCTTCATCACTGGAGGAAGGAAATTAACATTTCCAGGGCATCTTCTCCATACTGGCCCTTCTCAGAATTACCCTGGAGGCTCAGAGATGTTAGGTGACTTTCTCAAGTTCACACAGCTCCTACCAAGCTCAGCTGAGGTTCAATCCTAATTCTCTAGAACTCCAAAGTCTACTTTCCATGCTTCTCACAGCACTCTCCTTCCAAAGGATGCACATCAGTCAGCATCACAAACTGGTTAAAATGATTATACAACATCAAGAAAAGAAATTCATCATCCAGGAAGGGCCATTTACTCAGGGGACCTCTTTACCGTATTTTCAAACATCCCTCTGTCCTTGAGTCTCCTTGTCTTATCTGCATTTCCCACTCACTCCACAAGGTGGCAATATTCAACAGAGTTACCTGTAAAACACCCTCTCCCTCCACCTCATTTAAGAATCTGCAAGGAGACCAGGCGCGGTGGCTCACGCCAGTAATCCCAGCACTTTGGGAGGCTGAGGCGGGCAGATCGCATGAGGCTGAGAGTTCGAGACCACCCTGACCAACATGACGAAACCCCATCTCTACTAAAAATACAAAAATTAGCCAGGCTTGGTGGCACACACCTGTAACCCCAGCTACTCGGGAGGCTGAGATAGGAGAATCGCTTTAATCCGGGAAGGCGGAGGTTGCAGTGAGCCAAGATCACACCACTGCATCCCAGCCTGGGTGACAGAGTGAGACCCTGTCTCAAAAAAAAAAAAAAAAAAAAAAAAAAAAAAAAAAAAAAAAAAGAAAAAAAAATCTGCAAGGAAAGACGCACCCTGAAATACACTGGGAAGAACACACATAAGTATCCCAACAGAAATGCTTCCTTTTAAATTCCCATCACTCCCTGAGGACAAAAAGATGCCATCTCTGAGGCTTATCTGACACTTTGTTCCTACAGGTAAAGCCAGAAAAACAAGAAAAAAGGGGGAAAAAGTATGAAAATTGGATAAGAAGAAAAGGAACATCAAAGGGAAGGGGCAAATAATAAGGGACAGGGCCAGAGTCAATGGCAAAGGGAAGCAAGAAGGAAAGAAAAGGATGTTCTGTTTGCAGAGCCTGCATTTCTTCCATCAGTGGATCCTAATTCCCAGGTTAGGGCATGTAAACTCCGACCTTTTTCTCTCTTGCCAAAATTCCTGTCTAAGTACCCTGGGGCTACAAACCATAAAATCTCATCAGATGGGTTTTATTTAACCCTATTTACAACATGGCTTACTTTCAAACCTGATTCTGGCATAACATAACACAACAGATAAAGAAAGAAATCAAAATATTTTACCCCAAAATATGTTTCTTTGCCATATTTTGAAATGGCTCTGCAAAGCCATCTTTTTGTGGGGGGGAAATTTGCATCTGTAAAGAATTTCTGTTAATATAACTAGATCGCTCCGTTTCCAGGCCCTCCCAATTCTAAAGAAATTAACTGAAAGTCTAGAACCTTTTAAAGGTAAGAAACATTTGCCATCGGCCAGGCGCAGTGGCTCATGCCTGTAATCCCAGCACTTTGGGAGGCCGAGGTGGGAGGATCACGAGGTCAGGAGATCAAGACCATCCTGGCTAACACGGTGAAACCCCATCTCTACTAAAAATACAAAAATAAAAATTAGCTGGGCGTGGTAGTGGGCGCCTGTAGTCCCAGCTACTCGGGAGGCTGAGGCAGGAGAATGGCGTGAACCTGGGAAGTGGAGCTTGCAGTGAGCTGAGATTGTGCCACTGCACTCCACCCTGGATGACAGAGTGAGACTCTGTCTCCAAAAAAAAAAAAAAAAAAAAATTTGCCATCTGCTGTCTCTAAGGGTGACCATGTAGGAGACTTCACCTACATAATAAGAACCTTGGTCTCCTCAACCCCTTATCTTAATCCAGACACTCCTTTCTATTGATCCCAGGTTTTTAGATAATAACTTAATTCTTTCAGTCAATTGCCAATCAGAAAATCTTTGAATCTACCTATGACCTCTAAGTCCTCCCCAACATCCTCCACCAATCCCCACCCACTTGGAGTTGTCCTGCCTTTCTGGAATGAACCAATGTATACCTCACATGTACTGACTAATGTCTAATGTCTTCCTAAACTGTATAAAACAAAGCTGTGACCCAGCCACCTTGAGCACATGCTCTTAGGACCCGTTGAGACTGTGCTGTGGGCCATGGTCACTCATATTTGGCTCAGAATAGATCCCTTCAAATATGTAATAGAGTTTGGCTCTTTTCATTGACATGGGACATTAGCATCAGAGAGAAATGGTCACTTGGCCAGTATCCCACAGAAGTCGGGGCAGAGTCTACCTTTTAGCCTCTAAGCACCATTGGGGCACTGAATTCATAATTAAAATTTTTAAATACAAAAAGAAAAAGAGCTTAATGAAAACATAATACTATAACAAAAGAGCTAATATTTGTTTCATCAGAGTTCCAGAAGGGGAGGAGAAAGAGAACTGGACTGAAAAAGTACTCAAAGAAATAATGATTGAAAATTTCCCAAATTTGACAAAAGATATAACTCACAGATTCAAGTTTTGTAAACCCCAAATAATAATCAAAAGAAATCCACAACAAGGCACGTCATATTTGAACTTGTGAAAAGTAAAGACAAAGAAAAAACATCTTGAACAGCAGCAAGAGAGAAGTGACAGGTATCGGGGAAAAAAATGCAAGTGACAACAGATTTCACAAAAGAAACCAAGAGGCCAGAAGGAAAACTGTTACGGCATTTTTCATGTGTCGAAAGAAAACAACTGTCAACTCAGAATTCCATATCTAGAGAAAATACCCTTTAGGAATGAAGGAGAAATCAAGACACTCTCAGATAAAAGAAAACTAAGGGAATTTCTTGCTAGCAGGCCAGGTCTTTTTTTGGGAGGGGGGTGGGGAGGTGGGGAGACAGGGTCTTACTCTGTCACCCAGACTGGAGTTCACTGACTGGCATGATCACAGCTCCTGCAGCCTTGACTTCCAGGGTTCAAGTGATATTCCCACCTCAGCCTCTCAAGTAACTGGGACCACAGGTGCACACTGCCATGCCTGGCTCATTTTTATTTTTTGTAGAGATGGGGTCTCACTATCTTGCCCAGGCTGGTCTTGAACTCCTAGGCTCAAGCAATCCTCCCACCTCAGCCTCCGAAAGTGCTGGAATTACAGACATGAGCCATGGTGCCCAGCCTAAAGGAAGTTCTTTTAAAAAAATTTTAAAGGCAGTGTTTTTGTTTTAAAAGGAATTTAAAACATCACAATGGCAAAAAGAACAACAGAAAGAGCAAACACAGTGGTAAATTCAATAGACTTTCCTTCTCCTCTTGAGTTGTCTAAGTTATATTTAATGGTTGAAGCAAAAATTGTCTGATGTTTTTCTAAGCATATCTAGAAGAAAGAGTTAAGACAACATTATAAGTGGGAGAGAGAGGGTAAAGGAACGTAAGGAGAGTTAAGGGTTCTATACTTCACTTGAACTGGTAAAATGTTGACAACAATAGATAATGATAAATTATGTATATATAACATAATACCTGGACCAACCACTATAAAAGCAGATAAAACAAAATGGAATTCTAAAAAATGTTCAAGAAAATCACAGGAAGGGAGAAAAAAGGAAACCAATAAATTAAAGACAGGAAGCAAAGAGAAAAAATAAAACAAAATGGCAAATTTAAGCTGTATTGTATCAACAATCACACTCAGTGTAAATGGTCTAAATACACCAATTAAAAGACAGAAATTGGGGACATGTTGATCAAAGAGTACAAAGTTGTAGTTAGACAGGAGGAACAAATAAAATGTATTTATGGTGATTGATATATTAATTAGCTTGAGTCACTCATTTCACACTCTATACATTTATTATAACATCGCTTTGTACCTGGTACATATAATATCAAAAAAAAAATAGAGCTTGGCAGAGGGATTAAACCCATTACTCAACAGTATGCTGTTGGCCAGCTGTGGTAGCTCACACTTCTAATACCAACAGTTTGAAAGGCTAAGGCAGGAGGATCACTTGAGCCCAGGAGTTTGAGACCAGGCTGGGCAACATAGCAAGACCTCATCTCTAGTTTAAAAAATTAAAAAAAAAAAATTAAAAAAAAAATAAAATCAGCATTCTGTCTACCAGAAAATACTTCAAATATGACCATCTAGACAGTTTGAAAGTAAAAGGGTAGACAAGGATATATAGTCATCCCTGTGGGGGATATTACTTTCAGGACCCCCTGAGTATACCAAAATCCTTGTATGCTCAAGTTCCTTACATAAAATAGCATACTATTTACATATAATCTATGTACACCCTTCCCTGTACTTTAAATCATCTCTAGGTTATTTACAACACTTAATACACTGTAAATGCAATGTAAATAGCTGTTATACTGTATTTTAAAATTTGTATTATTTTTATTGTTGTGTCATTATTTTTTTTCAAATATTTTCAATCTTTGTGGTTGCTTAAATTCACAGTGTGGAACCAGCTGATACAGAGGGCTGACTGGGCAGTGAAAACATTAATCCAAAAAATACAGGATTGGCTATACTATTATCAGATAAAGTAAACTTCGAAGCAAAGAAAATTACCAGGGACAGACAGGGATATACCATAATGATAAAGGGTCAATCCAGCAAGAAGACATAGCAATTCTAAATGTGTACACACCAAACAACAGAGCCGCAAAATATGTGAAGCAAAAACTAATAGAATGAAAAGGAGAAATAGAAAAATCCACAATTACAACTGGAGTGTTCAACATCCCTCTCGCCACTATTGATAAAACAAGAGAGAAAATCAGCAAGATTATAGAAGAACTCAACAATGCTATATCCGGCGGAATCAAACTGACATTTAGATTCCACTCCAGCCAACAGAAGAAGAATACACATTTTCTTCAAGTGCTTATGGAACATATCCCAAGACAAACCATATCCTGGGGCATGATGCAAACCTCAACAAATGCAAAATAATAAATTATACAGTTCATTCTCTAACCACAATGGAATCTTCCACAAAGGAAGAATTTGCTAATACAGGTTGAATATCCCTTATCCAAAATGCGTGGGACCAGAAGCATTTTGGATTTCACATTTTTTTCAGATTCTGGAATATTTATTTGCATTATACTTACCGGTGACGCGTCCTTAATTTGAAAATCGGAAATCTGAAGTGCCTCAATTAGCAGTTTCTTTGAGCAGGGCTTCTGAGTATCATATCAGGGCTCAAAAAAGTTTTGAATTTGTGGGAATTTTGGATTTCAGATTTCTGGGTTAGGAATGTTCAACCTGAATTAAATATTTACTGCTTCAAAGTTTCTTAAACAAATCTTCCTTCTTCTGTGCCGGTCAGTACGCTGTTGTCTCTCAGCTTCAAAATCACTTTTCTTTTCTTTTTTTTTTTTTTTTTTTTGGAGACAGAGTTTCGCTCTTGTAGCCTAGGCTGG
The DNA here is from genome assembly GCF_000001405.40 of Homo sapiens. NCBI lineage: Eukaryota > Metazoa > Chordata > Mammalia > Primates > Hominidae > Homo > Homo sapiens. The sequence goes on from NC_000002.12 coordinate 30,096,089, forward strand.
AGTGCAATGGCATGATCTCAGCTCACTGCAACGTCCGCCTCCCGGGTTCAAGCGATTCTCCTGCCTCAGCCTTCCGAGTAGCTGGGATTACAGGCTTGCCCACCATGCCTGGCTAATTTTTGTATTTTTAGTAGAGACGGGGTTTCACCATGTTGGGCCAGGCTAGCCTCGAACTCCTGACCTCAGGCGATCCACCCACCTCAGCCTCTCAAAGTGCCGGGATTACAGCCGTGAGCCACCGCGCCCAGCCAAAATCACTTTTCTTTCCCTGCTCTGTGATGCTGGGGCTGAAACTGTACTTTGCCATTAGGCTTTGGTAATAGAGGACACTAAGAGGGAATCTTCAAGGCTGGAGGAGGGAAAGGGGATGTGCTCTTTCCTGGCAGCTTCTTATTTCTGAGTATCACCCAGCTCTGCTGCTTTACATCGGCAGCAGCAGTTACTTGCAACAGCAGCAGCTGAATCCAGTTTGCAGTTTTTCCAACACTTGAATGACCAGTCTTATCACGCTGCCTCAGAGACACCAGCACCAGCCAGCAGGGCTCCCTCCTCAAGAGATGTGGGTCCCAGGTCCACAGGGCACCTCCTCTGAGCCCAGGGACACAAGCACCAGTTGAGCAGCACCCCTTTCTCTAAACTTCCAACCTCTTCCTTTGCAGCCCAAACCTAGGAGTGTGAGTGCTTCCTGCAGCTACCACCTCCGTGTTCCCTTAGCGTTCCCTTTTTGCCTTTTCAGTTCCTTAAGTAGATGATGCTTTATATTAAATGTCCTCTCTTACATGAACTGGGATGGTTTGTCTCCTGACTGATACTGTAAGTCCCACACTGGATGCTCTGAGACCTCCTCACCTTACACCAGCTCCCCGGACTTGAGACCATTTTCCAAGCGTGGCTGTCATTAACCTGACTGAGTTATCAGCATCTGGGAGGCAGCTTTAAGACACCACGAGGTGGGAGAGGTGAGAGCACACTCACAAGCAATCAGTTGAAAGGTTGCTCACCTGAGCGTGGCAGCGGAAGGCGGCCGAGACCTTGCCCGGATCCCTTACCTCCTGGCTCTTCTCGCCTTGTGTCCCTGCTGCTTCCTTCTTTCTCAGAGCCTCCCAACTGAACTCCTTTTCTGGCTCTTGCTACCCAAACCTGACCTTTCCTCCATCATGGTGTGCCCGGCCTTCCACCAGAGCACATCTGCTATGAAACCTGTGTCTTCTTTTATCTTACCATCATTGTTGAACTGGGCAAAGCAATTACATCAATTTTGAAATTGTCTATGTGTTTTGTGGGTTGTTTTTGTCTCCATTTTTACAGCAATTAAACATCAGTATTGTTTCCCAGTATCTCTAGTTCTCCTCCTTCCTGGCACATAGCAGGATTACACCTCCCTGCCCCTTATATGACTCAATTTGGTCAGTAAAATGTGAATGAAAATAATGTGTGTCATTTCTAAGTGGAAGCATTTAAGAGATGGTGAACAGTTTTCCATTTTCCCACTTCCCTTGTTGCTGTCACCCAGTGATGCTCCAGAAGACTAAGGCTCTGTCTACCTTGTCCCTGAGTGAGTGACATGGAACAGAGGCTTCCACCAACCCTAATGAACAAGTAGCATAAGCAAGAAATAAACCTTTGTTTCAAATCACTAAATCTGTGGTGACAAATCACTAGATTTTGTGATCACAGCATAACCCAACCTGCCCTTAGTGATGCTTAAGATGACCCAGAGTCCTCACGCCTTATTCGCAATTTAGAGTACAATGCATTCTGGTTACATTTGGCATTAAATATTAGTTTAGTGATAGTTAGACAGTGCTTTCATGGGATGGCACCTTTGAGAAAACGATGCTGCCCTGGAGAATGAGTTAATGTTCCTGTAGGCTTCAGAAGGCAATAATGTAGCTTCTCAAAACCTGGACTGGGTGCTCAGCTTCCCCTTTGAGTCAAAGTATAAACCCACACATAATACACAGAAGCAAGGTAACAAGTCACCTGAAAAAATAGAATGGCTCCTGAAACAGAGAAGCTAGTACTATCATTTGTTTTATTCCATAGCATATCTAAGAAAAGAATGTAAGTTGAAAAGGGAATATTCAGAAATAGGAACATAGAAAGGAGAGCCAGAGAGGTAAACTCACTCAACCAACGTTCATTAAGTACCTCTTATATGCTTGGCTGACTGCTAGATGCTAAAGTTACAGCCATGAGGATGAAAGTCAGGACCCCTACCTTGAAGGGGCTTACAGCCAGAACGGAAGACAGATAATCATTAAACCACATTTAGTTTAAAGCTGCCTTCTTACATATTTTAAGTTCAGCCTAAAGGTCTCTCCGTACGTAGTGAACTGTAACCTAACTAGATGTGTCAATAGACTGTAACCTGCTCTTGTACCAGTCACACAGTTTTGGCCAATCACAGGTGGCCAACCATTCAAACTGTATTCAAATAAGGCAAATGCTGAGCTGCAACCGATCCAGTTATTTCTGCACCTCACTTCCGTTTTCTGGACTTTTCTTTTTCTGTCCATAAATGGATCCGACTATGTGGCAGCCCCAGAGTGGCTCTGAGCCTATTCTGGTTCTGGGGACTGCCAAATTTTCGAATCATTCTTTTCTAAATTAAACTCTGTTAAAGTTAATTTGTCTAAAGTTTTCCTTTAACATAATTAAGCCAGCGACCATCATGAAGCAGGATGTGGACCATAATAGAGAAGCACATGGAGCCCCGGGAGCCAGAAAGCGATAGGAGTTAGGCAGGACAGGGCAGGGTGGGCTTGGGGGTGAGGTACAGAGTTTCAGCTCTGCAAGGTGAATACATCCACATCTGGTGTACAAATTGCTCCTACAGTCAACAACACTATATTCTACACTTAAAATTTTGTTAAGAGGGTAGACTTCTTGTTAAGTGTTCTTACCAAAATGAAAATAAATAAAACTATAAGTATAAATATAAAAAGAAGAAGAGTATTCTAAGCAGAGAGACCAGTGTGTGTCAACTTTCTGAGACTGAACACAACAGGGCCAGCAAATGGTCAGACAGAATTCAGCAAGACCGGAGCATAACTGAGGAGAGAGAGACCAGGGAGAAGAAAGGTCAAGATCTTGTGTGGCTTTGAAGTCTGCATTAAGAAGTTTGGGTTTTGGAGTAACACAGTCAGATTTATTTTATTTATTTTATATTTTTCTTTATTTTATTATTCATTTTAGAGATGGGGTCTTGCTCTGTCACCCAGGCTGGAGTGCAGTGGCACAATCATAGCTCACTGCAACCTTGAACTCCTGGGCTCACATAATCCTCCTGCCTCAGCCTCCTTAGTAGCTGGGACCACAGGTGCCCACCACCCCACCTGGCTAATTTTTTTATTTTTATTTTTTGTAGAGATGGGGTCTTGCTATGTTGCCCAGGCTGCTCTCAAACTTCTGGGCTCAAGCAATCCTCCCACCTAGGCCTCCAAAATTGTTAGGATTACAGGCATGAGTCACCATGCCTGGCCCAGATTTACTTTTTAGAAAACAGTTCTCTGACTGCTGAGGCATTCTTATGCCTTTACATCCTCATAGCTTAGCTTCCACTTATGAGTGAGAACATATGATGTTTGGTTTTCCATTCCTGAGTTACTTCACTTAAAATAATGGTCTCTCATTCTATCCAGGTTGCCACAAGTGCTATTACTTCGTTCCTTCTTATGGCTGAGTATATTCCATGGTGTATGTGTGTATATATATATATATACCACAATTTCTTTATCCACCTGTTGATTGGTGGGCATTTGAGCTGGTTCCATATTTTTGCAACTGTGAATTGTGCTGCTATAAGCATGCAAGTGCAAGTATCTTTTTTGTATAATGACTTATTTTCCTCTGGGTAGATACCCAGTAGTGGGATTGCTGGATCAAATAGTAGTTCTACATTTAGTTATTTAAGGAATCTCCACACTGTTTTCCATGGTGGTTGTACTAGTTTACATTTCTACCAGCAGTGTAAGAGTGTTCCCTTTTCACCACAACCCTGCCAACATCTATTTTTTTTTAATTTTTTTGATTATGGCCATTCTTGAGGGAGTAAGGTGGTATTGCACTGTGGTTTTGATTTGCATTTCCCTAATCATTAGTGATGTTGAGCATTTTTCATATGTTTGTTGGCCATTTGTATATCTTCTTTTGAGAATTGTCTATTCATGTCCTTAGCCCACTTTTTGGTGGGATTGTTTGTTTTTTCTTGCTAATTTATTTAAGCTCCTTCTAGGTTCTGGATATTAGTTATTTGTCAGATATATAGATTGCAAAGATTTTCTCCCACTCTGTGGGTTGTCTGTTTACTCTGCTGATGTTTCTGTTGCTATGCGGAAGCTTTTTAGTTTAATTAAGTACAATCTATTTATCTTTGTTTTTGTTGCATTTGCTTTGGAGTTCTTGGTCATAAAGTCTTTTCCTAAGCCAGTGTCTAGAAGGGTTTTTTCAATGTTATCTTCTAGAATTTTTATGGTTTCAGGTCTTAGATTTAAGTCTTTGATCCACCTTGAGTTGATTTTTGTGTAAGATGAGAGATGAGGATCCAGCTTCATTCTTTTACAGGTGGTTGGCCAATTATCTCAGCACCATTTGTTGAATAGGGTGTCCTTTCCCCACTTTATGTTTTTGTTTGCTTTGTTGAAGATCAGTTGGCTGTAAGTATTTAGCTTTATTTCTGGGTTCTCTATTCTGTTCGATTGGTCTATGTGCTATTTTTATACCAGCATCAAGCTGTTTTGGTGACTATGGCCTTACAGTATACTTTGAAATCACGTAATGCGATGCCTCCAGATTTGTTATTTTTGCTTAGTCTTGCTTTGGCTATGTGGTCTCTCTTTTGGTTCCATATGAGTTTTAGGATTGTTTTTTCTAGTTCTGTGAAGAGTGATGGTGGTATTCTGATGGGAATTCCATTGAATCTGTAGTTTGCTTTTGGCAGTATGGTCATCATTTTCACAATATTGATTCTACCCATCCATGAGCATGGGATGTGTTTCTATTTGTTTGTGTCATCTATTATTTCTTTCAGCAGTGTTTTGTAGTTTTCCTTGTAGAGGTCTTTCACCTCCTTAGTTAGGTATATTCCTAAGCATTTTATTTTTTTGCAGCTACTGTAAAAGGGGTTGAGTACTTGATTTGATTCTCAGCGTGGTCGCTGTTTGTGTATAGCAGAGCTACTGATTTGTGTACGTTAATTTTGTATCCTGAAACTTTGCTGAATTCATTTATCAATTCTAGGAGCTTTTAGGAGGAATCTTTAGGGTTTTCAAGTATGCCTCTCATACTTACCAGCCTATATACGATTATATTATCAGCAAACAGCGACAGTTTGACTTCCTCTTTACTGATTTGGATGCCCCCGAGAAGAGATTAGATCATAGGTGAGCAGAGAGGAGACTTGGGAACCCCTTAGGAAAGAGATGAAAGTGGTCTGAATTCGGGTAGTAATAGATGCATGGAAAGAAGAGACATGGAGACAGAGGAGATGGCAAGACTTGGTGGCAGATTAGCTAAAGGGGCAAGAAAAAAGAAAACTCTAAAACAAGCATGATTCCCCTGTGCTATGGTTTGAGTTTATCCCCAGACCTCATGTTGAAATTTGATCCCCATTATGGTAGCGTTGGAAGGTGGGCCTAGTGGGAGTTGGGGTCATGGGGTCTGATCCCTCATGAATGGTTTGGTGCCATTCTTGCCTAGTAAGTGAGTTCTAGAGTTCTAGCTCAGATGAGACTGGATTCATTTCCTGGAGAGTGGGTTGTTATAAAGCCAGGATGTCCCTCGGGCTGCCTCTTCGTCACACGTCTGTTTCCCCTTTGATCCTCTCCACCATGTTATGATACAGAATGTGGCCCTCACCAGAAGCCAAACAGATGCCAGCACCATGCTTCTCATACTTACCAGCCTGCAGGACCATGAGCTAAATAAACCTCTTTTCTTTATAAATTACCCAGCCTCAGGTATCCTGTTATAGCAGCACTACACAGACTAAGATGTCAGGTTTCTGTCTTGAGTGAGTAGGTAGGCAGTGGTGCCAGGTGCCAAACTGGGGAACCCAGGAGGAAAAGCAGGTTTGGGAGCAGCTCAGGAGAGGGGAGTGAGCCCATTCAAGCACTGCCCTGATGACGAGGTCCCAGTTTAGGCAGGAACAAAATTTAGTCTGCCAGGGTTACAACTATGGTTATCTTAGTCACCTCAAGCTGCCATAACAAATTACCAGAGCCTTCAGGGGGACTTAGACTCACGGTTCTACAGGCTGAAAGTCCAGGATCAGGATGCCAGCATAGCTAGGCTCTGCTGAGGACCCCCTTCCTGGCTTGTAAATTTCCACCTTCTTGCTATGTTCTCATGTGCTGGGGAAGAAAGGAGGTCTTCCTATTTTTATAAGATCATAGTCCTATAGGATCAGGACTCCACACTTAGGGCCTTATTTAATCTTAATTACCTCCTCATGACCCTATCTCCAGATACATTCACACTGGAAGCTGGGGCTTCAACATGTAAATGGGTGTGGGGAAAGGTACACCATTCAGCCCTTAACAGTGGTGGAACAGTTGGGCTGAGTTGTCCCCCAAGATAGAACACAGCCTAATGTCATTAAGTGTTCAGATGAGGTAGCTGGCTGTCTGTGTCTGGAGTCCATACTCTTCAAGCCACCTTCTGATCATCTTGCTTCCTGTGGTCTTTAAGGAAAGAATGCACTGATCTTGCCAACATGATTGCTTGCTATACTTGGAGTACATTAAGTATTGTGGCTTAATTGGTGTGGGTCAGGATGGTCAAGTCTGAAAAACTCTGACCCACGAAAAGGCCACAGTCTTTTACTGTGGCTTGAAGAGTATGGACTCCCGACACAGAGAGCCAGCTACTTCATCTGAACACTTAATGACATTAGGCTGTGTTCTATCCTGGGGGACAACCCAACCCAACCATTTCACCACTGTTAAGGGCCAAATTGTGTACAAAATTGAGAGCCAGATTCTGGACCTTGGTGAACTCACTATAATACATTACAACTTACAAGGTTCCTAATGGCCAGCCAGTCTGTCTCAGGGAACATTCCTCCACACTAACAGTTTCCATCTTGCCTGGCTCATTTAGAAGGAAGAGACAACAGTTTCATTTATGTAGGCAAAGTAATAAAAGGAAAAGAGAAAGGACTTTGGAGCAGACCATTGCATTCACATGAATGGAGACCCACTGGAGTTGTGTAGTACACAACCCGCACTGCTGCACACAGAGGCGCTGCTTGCAGTTAATAGTGGAAGGTTCAAAGGCCAGCACCTCTGCTAACCAACTCTACATAGGGGCCTTAGGCAACTCACTAACTTCTCCATTAGGTGGAAAAAAAGTATCTACCTTGGACAAGTAGATTGAGTGGAAAATGATGTGTTGAGCTTTTAAACCAGTACCTGGCATTTAGTGGGCAATCAAAAATGATGGCTATTTTTATTTTTAGTGGGGAAGAGAAAAGGGGATAATTAAAAGCCATGAAAGAGGCATTGTACCTTTTGCATCAATGTATGACTTCCACTGCTGCCAACCTAATATTGGGATGTAATGGTTAGTCAGAACCAACTCCCTAAATCCTGCAGGGCTGTGGGAGGAAAGGAAGATAGGACGGTGAATGGAATTGTTCATGAAATGGCATGGAGCCCATGTTTCTGCCCAAAGGGGATTAATTTTTTATTCTGATCACCACCACCCCCAATCAGGAAGATAGTCTTCCTGCAAAATGCAGCTAAAAATAACCCCTAACTAGCATGAGGAAACTTCCAGGGATAACGTAGGTGTTTATAGTCTTGATTGTATGTGGTGATGGTCATGTATATATGTCAAAACATATTGCAATCTATTCTACATTAATTAAACTTCAATAAAGTTGCTTCTGTTGTTTTTAATGTTCTCCGGTCATCACTACTGTTTGCCAAACACTGACTTAAGCAGAGAATGCCACACATAGGGCTGGGGGGATAGGATTCAGGACAAAATGAGCACAGGTTAGAAAGAGATTATCAGCATTTTGAAGCACGAGTTTAAAAAAAAATAAGCCTCCTGGGAAAATGATCAACCAAGACCGCAGTTAAACCAGGAACCTTTACAAATGCAAATATAAGAATGTTTTTCATATGATAGTAAAGACCCTAAAAAGCCAACTGCCAGCCCTTCTGTCCCCCCAGGATGGGACGCAGCAAAACCTCTAGGAAAGTCATTTCACAGACTCTCATGCCCTGACACATCTTGCATGCTGTTGTTGGAATAATTCTTCTCAGAGAATATTTCCATCCCGAGCTCTCATTCTCTAATCTCCTGTGGCCCACTATGGCTTACAAAGCCAAACCCAGTTCCCACCTGCCTGCTCTGCAGACTCCTCTACAATACAGTCTCGCTGGCCTGCTGGCTGGTCCTCAGCACTTCTGGTCTCCACCCTAGGCTGCCCATCCCCCTTTTAGACCAAGCTTCATTTTACATCCTCTGCTAATCTTTTCTTGGCTTCACCACTAGATGACCATTTATCTTTCCTTTCATTAAAAACCTGTCTATAGAGACTGTATTTCTGAACCCAAAATTGGAACATGTGGATACAGAGTTTTATGCTGTTGACAGATGTGAAAGACACTCTGGGAAAAGTCACTTGGATGCTCATAAATTGGACTTTGGAGGATGTTTCGATAGTATGTGGGGCCAGGGAACAAGATATTTGAAATAGTGATTGTATAGGGTGTCCAGGGTGCATGGCTGGATCTTTCATTTGGCTTTTTGGCATGGGCTACCTACAGTGTATTACTAATTTTTTTTTTTTTTTTTTTTTTGAGACAGAATTTCACTCTTCTTGCCCAGGCTGGAGCGCAATGGCACGATCTCGGCTCACCACAACCTCCGCCTCCTGGGTTCAAGTGATTCTCCTTGCCTCAGCCTCCTGAGTAGCTGGGATTACAGGTGCCCGCCACCATGCCCAGCTGATTTTGTGTTTTTAGTAGAGACCAGGTATCTCCATGTTGGTCAGGCTGGTCTCGAACTTCCGATCTCAGGTGATCCGCCTGCTTCACCCTCCCAAAGTGCTGGGATTACAGGCATGAGCCACTGCACCCGGCCTATTAAATTATTTTAGTCAGCTGGGCGTGGTGGCTCATGCCTGTAATCCCAACACTTTGGGAGGCCGAGGCGGGTGGATGCTTGAGGTTGGGAGTTTGAGACCAGTCCGGCCAACATGGTGAAACCCCATCTCTACTAAAAAACAAAACTTAGCCAGCCATGGTGGTGGGCACCTGTAATCCCAGCTACTCGGGAGGCTGAGGCAGGAGAATTGCCTGAACCTGGGAGGCAGAGGTTGCAGTGAGCCAAGACTGAGCTACTGCACCCCAACCTGGGCGATAGAGTGAGACTCCGTCTCAAAAAAAAAAAAAAAAAAAATTTAGTCACATCTTTTTCCAAAACTAAAGTTTAATTACCTTAAGGACAGGAACTGTGTCAATATCTTGATATGCTCCCAACACTGGGAAAGGGCTCAGCATATGCTGTAGAGAAAATAAATGGCTATGAATGAACAATTTCAAACCCTTTATCTTGATGGGAAAATGACTTCCTTGCAGTGTCACCATCATCCACCTTCCTTTTCCACCCCTCTGCGAACAGCACTCCTCATCTGGAATGCAGCTCACAGGAGTGACACAGTAGATGAGGCAGACTCGGGAGCTGACCTTCAGGAATTTTGCACCATCCTCTAACCAATGCTTTAAAAAGTGTGAGAAAAAATGGGGCCCTGCTATAATGTAGAACAAGTTTCTGGGACTATAACACATATAAAAATCACCAGGCAAGCTTGCTAAGGTAAAGATTCTGGCCAGGCACAGTGGTTCAAGCCTGTAATCTCACCACTTTGGGAGACTGAAGCAGGTAGATCTCTTGAGCCCAAGAGTTCCAGAACAGCCTGGGTAACATAGTGATATCCTTTTGTTAGATTTTTTTTTTTTTTTTTTTTTTTTTTTGAGATGGAGTTTCTCTCTTGTTGCCCAGGCTGGAGTGCAATGGTGCCATCTCGGCTCACCATAACCTCCACCTCCCGGGTTCAAGCAATTCTCCTGCCTCAGCCTCCAAGTAGTGGCATGCGCCACCATGCCCAGCTAATTTTGTATTTTTAGCAGAGACGGGGTTTCTCCATGTTGGTCAGGCTGGTCTCAAACTCCTGATCTCAGGTGGTCCGCCCGCCTCGGCCTCCCAAACTGCTGGGATTACAGGCATGAGCCACTGCGCCCAGCTGCTTTGTTAGGTTTTTTTAAAGGTAAGGAGAGGGTTAAAGAAAGACACAGAGAGAGAGAGGGTGGCTCTACAGCAACACAGGTAGATTGCAAAAACCTGTGGAGGCGGGGGGACCAGCTTAATGCCAGAGCCACCACCGCTTACAGGCTAGGGTACTTATGTGCCTCGAGGGGAGGGGTCTGGGCAGTATGGTTTGCTGCCAGGGAAGATGTTGGTAAGACGTCCCCACGATGGGGCAGTTTGACTCTTGTTCCCGCAGAATGTGATGTTCCTTGCACCTTTTCCCAGCAGAATATGACAGGGATGTTCCTTCAGTTGGGCCTTTGCCAGGCAGGGTATGATAAGGACGTTCCTGTGCCTTGTGGTCAGATGGTTAGACATGCTGTTTCTCACGGCCCAAACACCCATGGAATGTTTCACTTTGACCAAGGTCAGTGAAATGGCAGGGTTGGGAGGCTTATAAAATGGTACAGTTAGGGCCGGGTGCGGTGGCTCATGCCTGTAATCCTAACACTTTGGGAGGCCGAGGCAGGTGGATCACCTGAGGTCAGGAGTTCGAGACCAGCCTAACCAACATGGAGAAACCCCAACTGTACTAAAGCTACAAAATTAGCCAGGCATGGTGGTGCATGCCTGTAATCCCAGCTACTCAGGAGGCTGAGGCAGGAGAATTGCTTGAACTTGGGAGGCAGAGGTCGTGGTGACCAGAAGTCATTGTGAGCCAAGATCGCACCATTGCACTCCAGCCTGGGCAACAAGAGTGAAACTCCGCCTCAAAAAAAAAAAAAAAAAAAGGTACAGTTTGGACTAACACCCTTCTCTACAAAAAATTTAAAAAATTAGCTGAGTGTGGTGGCACATGCCTGTGGTCCCACCTACTTGGGAGGGTGAGGTGGGAGGATCACTTGAGCCTTGGGAGGTCGAGGCTGCAGTGAGCTATGATTGCACCACCATGCTCCAGCCTGGGCAACAGAGCAAGACCCTGTCCCAAAACAAACAAAAAGATATAGATTCTTGCTGGGCACGGTAGCTCATGCCTGTAATCCCAGCACTTTGGGAGGCCGAGGCTGGCAGATCACTTGAGGTCAGGAATTGGAAACCAGCCTGGCCAACATGGTGAAACCCTGTCTCTACTAAAAATAAAAGTAAAAAAATAAGCCGGTGTGGTGGCGGGCGCCTGTAATCCCAGCTACTCGGGAGGCTGAGGCAGGAGAATTGCTTGAACCGGGAGGCAGAGGTTGCAGTGAGCCGAGATCATACCACTGCACTCCAGCCTGGGCGACAGAGCGTGACTCAGTCTCAAAAAAAAAAAAAAAAAAAAAAAAAAAAAAAAAAACAGATTCCAGGGCCCCACCCCCACAGATTCTGTAGGCTTGGGATGATGGTGCCTGGAATTTTGCTTTTCTCCCAGTAGAGGCTGATCATGCTGCTCTTTGGACCCCGCGTCAATGAGCACTGATGGACAGCACATTCTGAAGGAAACAAGCACCACAAAAACCTCTTTGTGAACGTGGCAGCAGAAACCCAAATCAAACTACCTTAAGCAAGAAAATGGATTTGCTGGGAAGAAACTGGGGTAGGCAGCTCAGTGTGAGTGGAAAAGTTGCAGAAGGAAGTCAGGATCTGAGGACCTTGGAGACTGAAATTGGGGACTCGATTATCATTGGAATCACTTTTATTTCTGCTGTCTCTGCATTCTCCCCTATTTACAATAAATTTTCTTTATATAATGGGGACATGCTGATGGAAATTCCAAATTCTTATTACCAAGTTCCATATTTCAGTCATTTATTACAAGCCACCCCAAAGTTAGTGGCTTCATACAACAAGAATTTGTTTTGCTCATGAATCTATAATTTGGGCAGGGCTCAGAGGGGACATCTAATCTCTAGTCTGTGTGGCATCAGTTGGGGTTCAAAGGCAAGAGGTCACTGGACAGCTGGGAGCTGGAATGCCTGAGGGGTCCTTGCCTGCTTGTCTGAGGATTGATGTTAGCTGCTGGGGACCTCAGCTGGGGGTGTGGCCGGAGCACCTATCTATGGCCAGTGTGGCTGCCTGGACTTCCTCATAGCATGGTTCCAGGGTTCCAAAAGCACTGTCCCCAGAGGATCAGATGCAAACTGCATTATCTTTTATTACACAGCCTTAGATGTCACAAAGCATTATTTTCACCTTAGTCCCACCCTTACCGAGATTCAAGAAAAGGGAAAACCAACCCCACCTCTTTATAGGTGAAATAAAAATGTTACATCATACGCAGCAACGTCTGGGGGACGTTGTTGTAACCATCTTTGAAAAATACAACCTGCTACACTGCATCATCTGAGGTGGTAGATTTTATTAGTTACTGTATCAAAAACCCCAGGGAAGAACATTGATTGACTTGGCCTTGGTCAGTGCTCACTCCACTGACCAATTATTGTGAGCAAGAAAGGGAAGCACAAAGAATAGCCCAGCCTGGCTCACATGCTCATTCTGTGACTGGCTGGAGGGAACAGCCAAAATTACATACAACCACTATAAACTAGGACTTCCCACGTTCTGATCCTTCTGGACACCAGAGTCAGCTACGACAATAAGAAGGGTTCACAGAGTCCAGATGCCTTTATGTAAAAACACCTAAAGGACAATATTTTCAGAAATGTGTTGGCAGCAAGAAAGACCAACAGGGGAGGAGGAACTATGGCCAGGTGTGGGGTCAGTCAGAAGAGTTCAGGTGTGTCAGTCAAAGTCCTGGAAGAGGATCTAGGACCAAAAAGAATCAACCAAGACAGACAGGGACAGCCATACCCCATAGCGGCAGCAGGTGAAAGTGTAAGCCTGAAAAGTCAGGTGGGAGAGGTTGGTGGGGTCTAGGGCGTGAGAGGAAGGCTCCAAGGCAAGGGGGCCCGTGCAGTGAGCTTCCACTTGCATTTGTCCTCACAGCAACTCTACCATGTAGCTATCATTTCCACAGATGTTCAGAGAGATTAAGTAATTATCGCCGGGCTCGGTGGCTCACGCCTGTAATCCCAGCACTTTGGGAGGCCGAGGCAGGCGGATCACCTGAGGTCGGGAGTTTGACACCAGACTGACCAACATGGAGAAAGCCCGTCTCTACTAAAAATACAAAATTTGCTGGGTATGGTGGCACATGCCTGTAATCCCAGCTACTCAGGAGGCTGAGGCAAGAGAATTGCTTGAATCTGGGAGGCACGGAGGTTGCGGTGAGCCGAGATTGCGCCATTGCACTCCAGCCTGGGCAAGAAAGGCGAAACTCCATCTCATCAAAAAAAAAAAAAAAAAGTAATTCTCTCCAGGTCACCCAAGACATGAGCCTCAAAGGTTTATACAGGAAGAAGTCCAGGTTCTGAGAGTACATCAGAGGCCACCCCCTGTAAGTAGGGGACACAGATGCATGCTCTCATCCCAGGGCAGCCCTGGACACTGCTCCACTCCAGCACTGCTCCCAGCGTGTGGCCCACAGACACTCAGCCCAGCCATCACCTGGGGACTGGCTAGAAATGCAAACTCATGGGCCGTACCCTAAACCTCCCATTTCCAAATCTCTGGGGACAGGGCCTGTGGAGTTTCTAATAAACCTTCCAAGTGATCCTGAACACACTTACGTTTGAGAACCACCGCTCTATTCCATTTTATTCCCATGGTTTACTCCAAACAGCCTGGAGCCACCAGTATAAACTGTAACTGGCATGCGAGAGACCTGCAGGAAACTGATTACACAAGGACAGGATGTTGGCATTACCCAGTCATGGTTATTACCCTTGGGTAATAACCCAAGGGTAATGTTGGCATTACCCTTACACGGTTGCCTCGAGGGTGACAGAAGATCCAATATATGGATGTATAGTTTGCTTTGCAAAAAGTCATTCTCATTCCATACCCCAGCCCCTACCCCAGCTTGAAGTTACCACTCTCCTTACTCTAAATCCCTTAAAATACATAAAGTCTGAATCACCTCATTATTATTTTTTACTGGCTGCCCTATATGTTAGTGGTCTGCTCATGTTAATGTCTTACCTCCTAATTAGGTTGTAAGCTCTTCAAAGGCAGGTGCAGGCATGACCTCTAAGTGACTAGGACAGAAGCCCAAATAAAAGTATCTTTTGTAAGCTAATATTTATAGGCCCTTGATAAGTATTTTGCTGAATGTTATATGTGTGTAATAGATAGTGGTACCCCCTTATTCAGGAGGGATACATTCCAAGACCCCCAGTGAATGCCTGAAACTGCAGATCGTATCAAGCTTTCTATAGACTATGTTTTTGTTTGTTTCTTTGTTGTTTTTTAGACAGGGTCTCCCTCTGTCACCCAAGCTGGAGTGCAGTGGCACAATCATAGCTCACTGTAGCTTCCAATTCCTGAACTCAAGCGATCCTCCCACCTCAGTCTCCCAAGTAGCTAGGACTATAGATGTATACCACCCACGCCTGGCTAACTTTTTAATGTTTTGTTGAGACAGGGTCTCACTATGTTGCCCAGGCTGGCCTTAAACACCCGGCCTCCAATGATCCTCCTACCTCCACCTCCCAAAGCACTGGGATTACAGGCATGAGCCACCATGCCCGGCCCATACTGTGGTTTTGATCTGACAACCTAGACAGTAACTAAGTGACTAAGGGGTAGCGGGTATAGACAGTGGATATGCTGAACACAGGGATGATTCACGCCCAGCCAGGATGGAGCAGGACGGTGTGAGATTTCATCATAACATTCAATTTAAAACATAAATTGTTTATTTCTGGAATTTTCTATTTAATATTTTTGGCCAAGGAAAACAGAACCATGGATAAGGGAGGACTGCTGTGTCTTGTTTAATCCACAGAAGCACAATCCTATAAGCTGGGTGTGACCTTGAGGAGACTGAGACTTCAGAGGTGTCAAGGACCCCCTTCAGCATCACACCCAGGAGGGAGCTGTTGGAGGCAGGCCCACATCTAAGACTGTGTGATGCCCAGGTCCCCGCCCTTACCCAGCCTAACGCAGGGCTCCGGCGTGCAGGTGTCACGGTGTCGCTGCTTCTCACTAACGCAGGGCTCCGGCGTGCAGGTGTCACGGTGTCGCTGCTTCTCACTAACGCAGGGCTCCGGCGTGCAGGTGTCACGGTGTCGCTGCTTCTCACTTGTGTAAGAAGTGCCACCGCAGAAGTACCACAGCTGGTGGCAAAGTGCTTAACATGGTACGTGCTCAAAAACTGTGAGCTATTTTAAATACTTGACTTTCTATTTTAAAACGCCTGGTCACCTTCATCATTTTGTTTCTGAAAATGACCATGGGCAATGGGTGGAGCCTCTTTTACTATACCTAACGTGAGAGGTGAAGAAACCAGGGCTGGGGAGTTAAGAGACCCGGGTTTGTTTTCCTACCGCTCAAGGCTCCCTCCTTCTACTCCTAGCGGTGGTGGTTATCCCTCTGCGTCTGCAGCAACCTCAATTCTTGCCTCCTCAGAAGAAAGAATTTGGCTGAGGGGCATAAAGCAGAAGGAGACATCATGGTAAGTTTTGTTTTGTTTTTTTTTGGTCTTTTTGAGAAAGAGTCTCACTGTGTCAGCCAGGCTGGTGCGATCTCGGCTCATTGCAACTTCCGCTTCCCGGGCTCAAGTGATTCTCCTGCCTCAGCCTCCTGAGTAGCTGAGATTACAGGTGCCCGCCACCACGCCCGACTAATTTTTGTATTTTTAGTAGAGACAGGGTTTCACCATGTTGGCCAGGCTAGTCTCGAACTCCTGACCTCAGGTGATCCACTCACCTTAGCCTCCCAAAGTGCTGGGATTACAGGCATGAGCCACTGTGCCTGGCAACCAAGGCAAGTTTTAGGGCAGAAGTGAAAGTTTATTAAAAAGCTGTAGAGCAGGCCAGGTGCGGTGGCTCACACCTGTAATCCCAGCATTTGGGAGGCTCAGGCAGGGCGGATCACTTGAGGTCAGGAGTTCAAGACTAGCCTGGCCAACATAGTGAAACCCCGTCTCTACTAAAAATACTAAAATTAGCAAGGTGTGGTGGCACACTCCTGTAATCCCAGCTGCTCAGGAGGCTGAGGCAGGAGAATGGCGTGAACCCAGGAGGTGGAGCTTGCAGTGAGCCGAGATCGCGCCACTGCACTCCAGCCTGGGTGACAGAACAAGACTCCGTCTCAAAAAAAAAAAAAAAAAAAAAGCTGTAGCATAGTGAATGAAAGGAAGGAAGGAAGATACACTTGGAAGAACACCAAGAGGGCAACTGGAAAGACCAATTGCGTGGCTTGACCTCTTGACTTGGGGTTTTATACGGTGGCATATGTGATGGTTAATATTGAGCGTCAGCTTGACTGGATTGAAGGACGCAAAGTATTGTTACTGGGTGTGTCTGTGAGGGTGTTGCCAAAGGAGATTAACATTTGAATCACTGGACTGGGAGAGGCAGACCCACCCTCGATGGGGGTATGCACCATCCAATCAGCTGCTGATGCCGCTAGAATAAACCAGGCAGAAGAAGGTAGGAGAAGCCGACTTGCTGAGTCTTCCGACCCTCATCTTTCTCCCGTGCTGGATGCTTCCTGCCCTCGAACATCAGACAAAGTTCTTCAGCTTTGGACTCTTGGACTTAAACCATTGGTTTGCCTGGGGCTCTCAGGCCTTCGGCCACAGATTGAAGGCTGTGCTGTCGGCTTCCTTGCTTTTAAGGTTTTGGGACTCGGACTGGCTTCCTTGCTCCTCAGCTTGCAGATGGCCTATTGTGGGGCTTCAGCTTGTGATCGTATGAGTCAATGCTCCTTAATAAACTCTTCCTCATATAGACATCTATCCTATTAGTTCTTTCCCTCTAGAGAACTCTAATACAACATACTTTCGGGGTCTTGGGTTACTTCTCCCCTCTCCTGAGATCTTATGGGGAAGCTGCTGATCACCAGTTTCAGATGTTTTCTATCTATTAGGAGACTGCCTTTCCCTGGTGCCACTGTGAACAATTATTACTTTAGAGAAATAGGTAACAACCACCTGACCCTCACCTGATGGTCGCCCAGCACTCCTGGTGTGTGTTGGGGGGAGGCCTCTCCCGCCCTGCTGATACCTGACTATCTGCCTACTGTCACACGACTACTCGCCACCACTCACATGGCGTTTCTATCCAGTCTGGATCATTCCTGCCAGCCCTGCAGTTCAGGGCTGTCCTCAGCTGGTGCCCTATCAGACTTACACCTGCAGGGCAGATGCAAAAGTGAAAACCTTCCTCCAGCCCCACAGTCTAAGAAAAAACAGATTTGAGGCATCAAAGGCCCACTCTCTGAAGGACCAAGGCAACTGTGAGGTTCCACTGAAGCTCTGTGGTGAAGCCTCCTTCAAGCTTTCTCCTGCAAACCCCCTCATCTTCCACGCTGTGACTCCACTCCAGGCCACTGCTTTAGAGACCTCTTCTAACCCGCTCCAAGGACATGACATCAGGGCAGGAAAAGCGTGCCTTATGACTGGGCTCTGCCTGGGCTTAGTCATCCTGCTGGACCAGCTCTAGGGGAAGGCTGTGGTTTTACTTCATCTCTCTGAGCTTGTAAAATTAATCAAACTTGTATTTTTAGTACAGGATTTATTTTTCAAGGTCAGTTTTTCCAGATCTCATAAAAAGATAAAAAGTGGTAACAGCTTCTTTGGATATCTTAAATATTCTACATGCAGAATGAAATGCATCTTTGTATAAGAAAACCCTGGGGTGAGTATGGAGAGCTAGCTCTCCCCAGCAGTTTGAAAAGCCTCCGGGTCACTGAGTGCCAGGCCAGCTCCACCATTCTCTGGGTTGATGAGTATGTCTTGTGAAGGGCAGGGTGTTAATCGTTAACTCAAGCTTTTGAAAGGGAGTTCAGTAGCATAACTTGTTAGTAATGAAGGGGTGCAGGCAACTTCACCCCAAAATATGGCTCCTTGGTATAATGAGGATTTGGGGTTTTTTAACTTTTTTTTTTTTTGAGGCAGGGTCTCACTCTGTCACTCAGGCTGGAGTACAGCAACGTGATCTCAGCTCAGTGCAGCCTTGACCTCTTGAGCTCAAGAGATCTTCCCACCTCAGCCTCCTGAGTAGCTGGGACTACAGGTGTGAACCATCGTGCCCAGCTAATTTTTAAAATTATTTTTGTAGAGATGGCAGTGGGGAGGGGATCTCACTATATTGCCCAGGCTAGTCTCAAACTCCTGGGCTCAAAAAATCCTCCCACCTTGGCCTCCCAAACTGCTGGGATTACAGGTATAAGCCACCATGTCTGGCCTATAATGAGTATTTTGAAGGCCCTTAGAGATCAACAGATGCTAGAAGAGACTTTTATCCTATCTGCATAAAGACCAGGTGAACCCACCAAGGAAAGTAATTGTTTTTCCTTCTTCTTCCTGTTATCTTATTATCTATCCAATGTAACCACACCTGAAGAGACCCTTTCACAGGATAACGTCTGTCTCTCAGGCTCATTCAATTTCCAGAGATAACCATTTACAAGTTAATCTATGTTCCCGATCCATTCATTCTCCCTAGTAATCATTTCTTGCCTCTCAACAGAAGTACCTATATTCCCCATCTCCCCGCTTCCATCTGAAATAAGGCTATGTAAGTATCTGGGCCCCACCAGGATATGGGGCAGTCACTCTGATTCAGCTTTGTGCATGCTAATAAATGTGTATTATGCCTTTTCTCTTATTATCTGCCTTTTGTGAGTTGATTTTTCAGCAAAACTTCAGAGAATGAAAGGGAAGATTTTCCCTTGACCTTGACAGCTGTTACTGGGGTTTAAGTGGAGGAGAGGGGAACATTTAAGAGAAAACTGTAATTTCTCAGACACCAGTTTCTCCATGAAAAATCTTGTGGGCTCACTTACAAAGCCCTTAGAATGTGAATCCACTTCCACCCCCGAGCCCGCTCCAAGATGATGGCACTCTTCCTTCCCATCTCCTCCCTGTTCCCTCCTGACAGCTCCAGCGCCAGTGTTCTGCTCTCAGAATATAAATTTAGCTGCTCGAGGAGGATGAGCAAGGCTCGTGGCAACTGTGCTCTCTGCAGGTGGTGTGAGTCACTCAGTCTCGAGAGGGGCCTCCTCCGGTCTTGTCAGTATCTTCGGCCCTGGCTGGGCTGGCTAAGCACACCTGCAGCGCCGGCTCTGGTATCGGGATGGTAGCTCACCCAGGGAGCTAAAGCTGTAATTAAACCCACCCAGAAGATGTTCCCTGTGTCTGACCAACTTGTTCGCTTTTTTTTTTTTCTCCTTTATACGATGTATTCCCAGTGGACAAGTTATTCAGATCATCTGGTGAAAGCAGACCCACTTCCTGGTAAAATAAACATGCCTTTCTTTCCATCCCAATGTCTAAATGCTTAAGGAATTTTAAGCCAAATCTGATATTTTTCCTTTTTAGCGCTTGCCATTGCACACTGGTCTGCTTCTTCTAGGCTGTCCCATAAGCATATATTTTTTCACTTCTCTCTGGCCCATGTTCTTCCCAAATGCCCAGCACTTCCTGAAGGCCAGGTTCAGTGTCGCACTTTCTCTAAACAAGGGTGCAAGGCCACCATCTAGTGTTCAACAGCGGAAGTGCAGGTCTGCAACAAGTCAACTAGGTCGGACAAGTGCACTCCAGTGGGATCCCTGAATGTGGTTCCATCCGCCGCCATTTCTGGGAATGTTGTGACAGTTTGTCACAAAATCGGACAGGCTGCATACATTAAGCAGCTAAAGAAACTGATGTATAGATGAGAATTAAAAAACATTTCTCTACCCTCTCCCAGTGTAGAGCGGTGACCAACCATTCTGGTTTTTACCTGGGACTGAGGGGACTGCCTACGACCAAGGACTTTCAATCCTAAAAGCAGAAAAGTCCCAGGCGAAGAGGGAAAAGTTGATCACCCAATAAGGAGAAATAAAATGGCTCTGGGAGCAGAAACTTGTAAGAAATAAGAGGCCTTGGGCTTCTGGTTGGCGGTGGAAGACAGCTTTAGAAGAAAACTTTTGTTTTTATAGAAGAGATGGCACTGTACGGTTATCAGAGGGAGGAGGCTCAGTCAGACAGCAAAGAAATGACCTGGGGCATTAGCCCAAAAAGTCCTGATCAAGAGGCTGGGCTGGGCTTAGGGGATTCTCTGGTGGCCTCCAGACCGAGGAACCTCAGTTACAATTGCTCTCCTGTTATGAAGGCAGGTTGTGCATCTGCTCTTACAGGCGTGCCCTTGCTGCTTTGAGCAGTGTGGTATTTGTATAAATCTCTAAGATGGTGTCAGTGCCTCAAATGAACTCAACTGGGCTACACTCAGGAAGCGAACCAGAGCTTGCTGTTTCACTGACCATCTGAGAATGCCCCAGTAAGCAAGGGGACTTTGCAATTGCACCTCTGCCACTGGCTGTATGACACTGAGCAAGTGACTTAACTGTTCTGAAAGTCCCTTTCTTCGGTGGGCTGTTGTGCAGTTGGATGAAGCAGGCATATAAAGTCCTCTTAGCCCAGTGTCCAGCATTTGGCCAGCTCTGGGTGAAGCCTGTCTGTCTTTGACCAAGCAACCCAGACACAGTCCCTGGCCCTGAAGCCAGAGTCCTGGGGCCTCTTCTGTTCCTTCCAGCAGACCCCCCAAATTGAGCCTGCTTCTTTTTCTGTTTAGAGTTTCTACCACCTACTTCTTGCTTTTCTTCTGACCTGGTACTCACGCACCCTTCCCCTTACTCCCAGGACTGGCTGAAGAATGGAGATTATAACAGCAATTGTGAGATTCACCAGATAATTCATGCAAAGAGCCTAGAGCAGGGCCTGGCGCTAGGCTCTAGGCTAGCAGGTCAGAGCTTAAAAATGCTCCTGTCATTGTGGCTCTCTCACCTTCACTTCCAAGTTACAGGTCCTGTTCTTTGCTGGAGTCTAAGAAACTGAAGTTCAAGAGATCCCCCAAATTTCACCCTGAAATCTAAGCAGTGCGGAAAAGCTTCAAAGGCCTTCCTGGTTCACTTATTCATCCATGCAACCAAGTTTTATGGCTCCTACGCCAGACATTGTGTGAGGTAGGAAGAAGCCACTGAGGCCAGGCTCAGTGGCTCACATCTGTAATCCCAGCACTTTGAGAGGCCAAGGCAGGAGGATTGCTTGAGTCCAAGAGTTTGAGATCAGCCTGGGCAATGTGGCAAAACCCCATCTCTACAAAACTTTTAAAAATTAGCTGGGTGTGGTGGTACAAATCTGTGGTACCAGCTACTGGGGAGGCTGAGGTAGGAGGATCGCTTGAGCCCAGGAGGTCAAGGCTGCAGTGAGCCATGATTGCACCACTGCACTCCAGCCTGGGTGACACA